>NW_025791766.1:300000-489404 GCF_000001405.40 Homo sapiens | reverse complement strand
TAGAGAAATGGCAAATAACAAAAGATAGGCAAAAAAGTCAGGACAGTTCTGAAAAGAGTAATGCAAACACATAGAAACGTAGTATACCATAAAAGTGACATTTCAAATCAATGGGACAGATTATTCAGTAAATTGTAATATGTACATGTTGGGGTAAAAATAAATAATTTATCTGGAAGAATCCTTAAAATGGCAAAAGTAGATGCTTCTAAGGGAGGGGGTGGTGGTGGCTGGGAAACTTGGGGAAAGTGTGAATTTCCATTGTCACCATTTTGTATCTTTCCAATGTTCTATCATGTGAATCTATTATCTTTTAAGTCTAAAATGCCTGTGTTCAAATCCCAGCTATTGCTAGCAGTTGCTAGCTAGCTCTTAATCTTGGGCAAATTCTTCAGATTCTCTACCTCCTTATCTGTGAAATGGGATGAATAACTTAGCCAGGTGCTGCCTGGCACAGAATAAACTCTCAATAAATATAAATTGCTGGTGGAAACAACCCAAATGTCTAGTAATGGATGAATGGATAAGCCAATGTGGTGTAGTCATACAATAAGAATACTATGCAGTATGAAAAGGAATAAAGTTCAGACACACACTACAACATAGATAAACCTTTAAAACATAGTATTAAATGAAAGAAGCCAGATACTAAAGGTCACATGTTGTATGATTCCATTTATATGAAATGTCCAGAAAAGGTAAATCCAGAGATTGGTGGTTGCCTGGTGTCAGAGGGAGGAGGGAATGAGGAGTGACCGCTAATGGGTAGAGGGTTTTTTTGCAGGGGATGATGAAAAGGTAATGGCTCAGATAGTTGTAATGATTGTACAACCTTGTGAACATACTAAATGTCACTGAACTGTACGATTTTTGTTTGTTTGTTTTTTGTTTTGAGACTGAGACTCGCTCTGTTACCCAGGCTGGAGTGCAGTGGCACGATCTCGGCTCACTGCAACCTCCCCCTCCCGGGTTCAAGCGATTCTTGTGCCTCAGCCTCCTGAGCAGCTGGGATTGTAGGCATGCGCCACCACGCCCGGCTAATTTTTGTATTTTTATTAGAGACGAGGTTTCACCATGTTGGCCAGCCTAGTCTCGAACTCCTGAGCTCAAGTGATCCGCCTGCCTCAGCCTCCCAAAGTGCTAAGATTACAGGCCGCTCCCGGCCGAATCGTACGGATTTTGAACAGTGAATTTTATGTTAGGTGAATTATATATCAGAAACTAATTTTTTAAAAAGTAAATTACTGATTTACCCATGGTGACCATCCACTGCCCCCATCTTCCCTTCCCCCACCCATTCCTCTCCTGCCCTCCCCCCACCGCCCCCAACCCTTTCTACCTCCCACTGTGCCTCGAGGGGCGTGGGGGGGGGGGGCCTCCCCCTAAGGAGCGTCTGTGGACAGTTGGGCGCCTGCGTCTTGCGGCTTTTGGAGGGGGACCCAGGGCGCGCGCGCGCCCACCACTCATCCTGTGAAAATGGACGCTCCAAGCCGTTTTGTCTCGTGTACTTCAGTTAATGGTGATGGCGGAGAAGGTTGCACGTGCTGGAATGGGTGGAGGAGGACCTGGCGGCCTCTTAATATTTAAGTCCCTCCAGAAGCTTGATTTATTATGCCTGTAACCTCCGGATTCCGCGGTCTGAAAGCCAGGCTGGCTGCCTGCAGGCGCTTGCAAACGCTGAGGACTTCGGAGACCCACAGGCCTTACCCCTTTGCACACAGTGTGACCCAAGCCCACTGCTGAACCTCACTAGTAAAGTGGCACAGTGTTACTGGTCTTGTGTGTTGTTGTGAAGGTGAACTGAAGTAGTGCGTCTCACTGCCCCTTGCATAGGTGTTGGTTGAGTAAATGGAGATCTATACTCTGGGGTCTGTTCTGAGCCAGCTTCATGCTGCTGCAGTTCATTTGGCTGGGCCCCAGGTTATCAGCTGTATCTAGGAGAACTGTGAGCCCTTGCCATTCCCCTGGTAGATTTCCCCTATGTTTTGTACTCACTTTCCCAACTGTGATCATATACGTATAAGGTAACCCAAACCTGTTGATGAGACCTGAATCTTATTTTCTAAAATACCTATCTGATAGGCCATGAGACATAAGGCTATCATCCATGGGGGATTTTGTACGTTTCTTTTGGTCCACCCAGCCTCATCTTCTGCCATCTTCAATTTATATCCAAATTTTATTCTTTTAGTCCTAACCTCAGATTCTGCATCTTACTTCTGCCATTTTCCCCATTTCTGATTCTTTGTATAAGCCCATAAAATCTCTCCCCATTTGACCTTCTTAGTCCTGGAACATGTTCCTTCCTGTTTCCTCAATTCTTATCCCTTTCTTTCTCTCTATTCTCCCATCCAACTTTTAGTTCCTTCTTTTTTTTTTTTTTTTTTTTTTTTTTTGAGACGCAGTCTCACTCTGTTGTCCAGGCTGGAGTGCAGTGGCACGATCTTGGCTCACTTTGACCTCCACCTCCCGGGTTCAAGCGATTCTCCTGCCTCAGCCTCCTGAGACGCTGGGATTACAGGCACCCGCCACCACACCCAGCTAATTTTTTGTATTTTTAGTTTTTAGTTTGTATTTTTAGTTTCACCATGTTGGCCAGGCTGGTCTTGAACTACTGACCTCAGGTGATCCACCCACCTCGGCCTCCCAAAGTGCTGGGATTATAGGCATGAGCCACCATGCCCGGCCATAATTCCTTCTTTCTAATGCAGCCTTTCATCCCCACCCCCACCAAAGAAAACCCACAGTCAACAGCATCTCAAAACTCAAAAGGCCTCTTTATTACTTATCTATTAATCAATTCTATTACATTTCTTTATTATGTTTTAAAAATATATCAGAATAAATAAATTAGTATCTATCTATATATGTGGAAAACCAGCGGTATCCAAAGTAAAACCAACAATCTCAGCTCTTAGATTGTGTAGCCATAGTATTCAGCAATTTCCATATCTCTTTCCCTTTCAATGAAAAACTGCACTTTCCCCAAAGAGGTGTATTTGGCAGCATTCTCACGCTCTTGTTGAGCCTTTCTCTTCATGGCCTCACGCTCTGGCCTCTGCTCTTCTGTGATGGGCGTTGACATTACTGGCTCAGGAACAGTGGGTTTCCTCCATGGACGGGGTTGGAGGCTGAAGTCTTGGATTAGAAATTGATTTTGAGGCTTGGGCAGTGACCGGAGACTGGTCACAGCAGTGGAAACAGGCTCCCGCTGCAGAGAAGAACAAGATGATGTTTTGTAGGCTGATGGCCTAGAAGCAGCAGATTGAGGGACAGTAGGCTGGGTAGGGTTGGCTGAACTGGGTTGGGTTGCTTTGGCTGAAATTGGCTGAGCTGGTGTGGCAGGACCTGTCAAAGATGTGTTGGTAGGAGCTGGTCGGGATGGATTGACTGCATTCGATTGAGCTGAGTTAGTAGAATCAGGTCGAGCAGGGTAAGCCACAGCAGGCCTACGTGAGGCTAGAGGGTTTGGCCGCCGAGAAACATGTCGAGCTTGAGGTTGGTCCAGGGTCAGAAAGGGCAAAGGTATCAACTTGACCTTCCCAGGTGGTGGCAACTCAGAGTGGGATGGAGATGTACACTCTTTTTCAGCACTACCATCTAGTTTCTGGGCCTTGACTTGAATTTTCTCCGGGCCTTTACCCTCATGTTGGATATCCAGCCATGGTTTGAGAGCTGGGAATGGCTGGCGGTTTTGGGTGTTGCTTGAGCTTCCCAGGGTCCTGGAGGAAGAGAATCCAGTTTTCATATCGATCTTTTTCCCGAGTGCATGGAAAACTTGCACGGACTCTAGCATGTGCATGCCTAGGGAGCTTCGGGGCTTTTTAAGGGTCTTTTGGCTAAGCTCAGGTTGATTTTTCTTCCGTTTCATATTGGGAATGGTTTGCTTCTCTTCTACCTTGACTTTTTTCCCTGACTGCTTACTCTCTTCAGATTTCTTGGAGCTGTTCTTTCTGTTCCCTTTGGTCTTTTCCTGCCCATGGCTCTTAGTTTTGCTGATCCTGCTGGATGCAGCCTTGTGAGGTTTGTTGCTAGAATGCTTGGCCTTGTTCACAGAAGCGCTGTTACTGACTGTAGCACTGCCAACAACCACTTCTCTCTCTAATAGGCACTCTGGGTTCTTTGGCTGGATTTTGGCCTTGGGAGCACCCTGGATAGGCTCGGAAGCTTTATGCTTGTTCTTCCTGACTTGATCAGAGTGACCCTTTATGACACATGACTTTTCCTGCACCTGATTTACCTTGATGGCACTGGTATCTTTGGCTTTCTTTGCTGAGGGACTTTCAGGTTGGTCAAGATCTTGTAAGGAACTGAAGATCGGGGGGAGGTAAGTATCCTCCACCCATGTAGTGATGTCTGCCAAATCACTGCTAGACTCAATCCCATTTTCAAATATCCCTTGGTCCTCAAGACTCAGGCTCTTATTTCTTAGATTGGCATTTTCAGAACCAGGCTGCTCCTCTTGGCCAAGAGGATCAATGCAGGCCAGAAGCGGGTGAATATCGGGGATTTCTACAGGAAGTAGTGGAGGATCTTGATTTCCTATTAGGATCTGGTGGACATCTAGAGGCTTTGAAAGGTTGGTTTTAATCTCATCCAAATTCTCATTCTCATTTTTTTCCTGGCTTGGAGCTGGAGACAGTGTCAAGAGATTAGTAGGACTCTGGACTGGAGTTATTGAAATGTCCCCAAGCTCAGGTGATGGGTTACTCTCAAGTGTCTGGGTATTTCTGCTACTGAAGGACTTGGAGAATTCTGGAGTTTGTGGCAGACAAAATGTCTGGCTTGGAGATTGCAATCCCAGGGAAGTATCCATCCCCAGGGAAGTTTCCATCACTACAAAGGAATCAAGGAAGAAGTCAGTCCCTGGTAAGTGAGATGCTCCCCCTACACACCAGTGCAGCAATCGGATACCTTTCCAACATGGGCAAGGCATTTCTACTAGCTCTTCTTAAGGACCATGGGCAAGACCCTGTATTAGGAGATTGGCAGTGACTGTTCTCTTACTGGTTATCATTTGATGTGATTGTTTCTTGGTTTTCTTTGTATTTCATAGGGTTGTTGTAGATCAAAAAGTGAAAGTGATTTTTAAAATAGGAGATGTTTTATACAGCCTCACATTCTTACAGGGTCCTTTCAATTCTCTCCACTCTCCTGAGAGAATAAGAACAGTTTACACCATGGACTAGGGTAAGGTAGAGAGTGGAGCCCTTCCTCATGAAATATATAAGCAAGCACAGATTCTGAGCCTGTTTGTTTTGGAGAGGATCTCTGAACACAAGGTCTTAAATCCTATTGTAAGTTAAGGAAAATCAAAATGTCACCGCCAAAATAAGAGTTCTGAAGTGCCTTCCAAAGAGACTAAAGTAATAGATTAAGGAAGGACATTACAGCGTGGTAGTGTGGGGGAAGTGATCAGTCAGGGCACTAAAAAGTGTATCCCTCAGTATGCTCTTGCGATTCTCTTACATGTAGCATAGATGGCCATTACAGTGTTCCACTTTCCCACTTATAAGGTGTTCTTATATAGAGTCTGAAAATGGAGAGCACTGCCAAAGAATAGTGGTTGAAGTCTCAGGACTTAAATTCTACCTATCCACGGACTCACCACTCGCTACAGATTTGACCCTCCTTTTCAACGCTGACATTATTCCTCTCCTTTCTTGATGTTTGTACTCACCTTGAACACTGGTTTCTGTGATGGGTTGAGAAGACACAGAGTAATACATCCCAGAAGTAGAGACTGGTGGTAGGACATTTGTGGGCTGAACCTCCTTCAGCACCATCACCATTTCTGGTTGATGGGCAGAAGCCCTATATCCTGTGTATGACACAGAGCCATAAGATTGCAGGCAGGATAGTTGAGGCCCCAGTGTGCCTTGATTATAGTAATAGACCTGGCTTCCTATCTGGCAGGGAAGTGACAGGTTATGGCCCTGCTGATTTGGAATTTGAGTTAGTGTCCCCTGAACAAGGCTGGCAGATAGTGATGGATACAGAGGGACCATAGTATTGGTATCTGAAGTTTTATAATACTGGGCTGTCATAGACATGGAAGAGACAGCTGTGTTCTGATCAATGACAGTCACAGTGAAGTCCCTGAGTGAGGATGACTTCTTTACTGTGCTTGCTGTACTATCCCACTCAAAAACGCCTGGATAAGAGGCAGCTGAAGTACAGATATGGCTCTGGCCAGTAACCCCAGACAACATAGTTGTGCTAGAATGTTGGTAAAGGTAGGCACTGCCCATGAGTGGCTGGAAGGAGGTGCCAGAGGCTGATGGCTGTAGCCATGCTGAGCTGATGGCTGGAGCAGAGGCTCTGGAGAAGTTGGAGATGCTTCCTGTTAAGAAAGCTGCATTGCTCACCACAGGAAGAGAGAACTGCCGAGAATTTGCAGTTCCAGGTAAAGACGTATTTTGGAAATATTCTGTAGGAAACAAGAGAGAGATGAAAAAACCGATGAGAGTGAAAAATTCTCACCTTATTGGAAGACTAGCATTATCTTAAGGTTGTTGCAATCAGGAAGCCTCTAATACCAATACTCACTGAGATACCAAAAGCCAAACAGTTTATGATGGCCTTGAGTGCTGAAGCAGTTTGGTCCTCTTCTGATGAACTGTCTTTGTGTCCAACTTGGACACAGATATGAAGACCCAAATGGTCTGGTTTCGTACATTATTTCCTAGGCTAGAAGCAACCTTCTCCCTTCCCTATCTTTCCCTTGAATCTGGGCTAGTATAGACTCATAACTATTTCCTAGAATTGGAGCATTTTAGAACTAGGAGGTCCTTAGAGAAGTTCTAACATTTCATTTTATGAGTCTGAGAGGTCAGATTGACCTGTTTTAAGTTTTACCATTATGTTAATATCATTACCAGGTTACAGAACCTGACTTCCTTGCCAGGAGTCTTTTCTCTGAGCATAGACCAGAAACCAGGAAATTAGAACTTTTAATATGGCATTTTTTTGGTCTACTAGAATATAGTACAGCTATTACCTTTATAATCCTTAGTGTCACATTTTGCTTCTGCAGGTCATATGATATGTCCTAGAGTTTATATTTAACCCAGGCCATTGGTAAATCTAAAAGGTCATTCTTTGCCCTCTTCAAGCCTGGCTTTTTATCATTAGTCAAAATAACTACCTGATAGAAATGTTTTCTTTTTTCTTTTTACTGAGACAGAGTCTTACTCTGTCACCCAGGCTGGAGTGCAGTGGCTTGACACCCAGGCAGCCACTCTGCCTGGCTAATTTTTTGCATTTTTAATAGAGACGGGGTTTTGCCATGTTTACCAGGCTGGTCTCAAACTCCTGACATCAGATTATCTGCCTGCCTCGGTGTCCCAAAGTGCTGGGATTACAGGTGTGAGCCACAATGCCTGGCCAAGAAATGCTTTTTGAAAGAAAAAAGCTAGTTAAACTCTGTGAGCTTCAGGCTGCCTGTCTATAAAGAAGTTGTAAAATAATAACAGTGATAATTCATACATGAATAAAAGTGATAGATTACATATGACTTATAATGAGGAAGATATAGTAAGTTCTGAAAAAACAGACAAAATAATTAAAAACATAAAATCATGGAACTAAAACAATATATAGATATTAATGAAAATTGGGGTATGTAGCTAGCATCAAAACATAGTAAAGTACTAACTAAAGCTGTTACCATACATGCAACATTAGGAAACTGAATAGTATCTACTCTTTCTTAGTGAATACTATTAACCAAGAAACAGCCCATAATAGAATGAATGAATTTCTAACAAGCATATATAGACAGAGAAATTGTATCAGCAAAAAGTGTGTAAGAAGCAGAAAATGTATAGACAAACTGTATCAGCAAAAAGTGTGTAAGAAGCAAAAAGTATGTAAGAAACAGAAAAATGCAGTAAATGTGAATGTAAAATAGCCATAATATATGTGGATAGATATTTCAATAAAAACTGGTACAAGGTAGAATGCAAAAAATAAGTGTAAAGGAATTATTATGCTCATTCATATTTCTATGAATATTACCCAGCAAATGACAGGTATTAATCCTAGTGTAATATTTAAATTATTGTAGCCACATAACAAGCAGAAAAGAACTCTTAAAAAGTATCATGAGAACTTTAATATCTATCCTCAAAACCTAGATTATAATCATCTCCAACGTCCAGGAAAATGACATTCCCATAGCTTAAAAAAAAACAACTGCTAGAATCCAATTAAAAAATGTTTTGAATGTAGGAAAGTTCAAAGGACTCCAGAAAATTTGGCTTAGATTGATATGGAATTAGAGATATGTGGCTGATATGTGGCTTGACTTTTTATTCTTAGGTCTAAAAGCAGTCCATTATGAATCAGTAGGTACTCTGTTTTTGGAAGAAAGTATTAAGATAAAAAAGCAGCTTTTACTTGGAATCTACTTTTCATGCAAAGGTATTGTTCTTCTGATGCAAATAACGATACATTCTTTTTTCAGAAAACTTAATTTTATTGTTAATAGGAGAAACATCCATATAATTTAAAAATTAGAAACAGCACACTGCAAATTACATGTCCTCCAGCTCTCTAGGTAACCACTTATTAGTTTCTTGTTTGTAGGAAGCAACATTTCTTTTCTTTTCTTTTGAGATGGGGTCCTGCTCTATCCTACAGACTGGAGTGCAGTGGCAAGATCTCGGCTCACTGCAACCTCTGCCTCCCAGGTTCCAGAGATTCTCCTGCCTAAGCCTCCCAAGTAGCTGGGTTTACAGGCGCCTGTCACCACACCCAGCTAATTTTTGTATTTTTAGTAGAGATGGGATTTCACCATGTTGGCCAGGCTGATCTCGAACTCCTGACCTCAGGTGATCCACCCGCCTCAGCCTCCCAAAGTGCTGGGATTATAGGTGTGAGCCACCGAGCTCGGCCTGGAGGCATCATTTCTAAAACATATATATATATATATATGAAATATACATGTATATTATATATAACATACATTTATATTATATAATATACATATATTATATATAATATACATGTAATATACACTAAATTTAAAATTTATATGTATATTATATATAATATACATGTAATATATATAACATACATGTATATTAATTATACATGTATATTATATATATAAAATATACATGTATATTTTATATATATATTATATATACATAAAATATACATGTATATTTTATGTATGTATATTTTATATGTATATTATATATATATAAAATATATATGTATATTTTATTATATTATATATATTATAGATATATACATAAAATATACATATATATATTATGTATATATATAAAATATATATATTTTATGTATATATATAATATACATAAAATATACATATATATTTTATGTATATATATATATATATTTTCTTTTTGAGACAGAGTTTCGCTCTTGTTGCCCATGCTGGAGTGCAATGGCATGATCTAGGCTCACTGCAACCTACACCTCCTGGGTTCAAACGATTCTCCTGCCTCAGCCTCCCAAGTAGCTGGGATTACAGGCATGTGCCACCATGCCCGGCTAATTTTGTATTTTTAGTAGAGACAGGGTTTCTCCATGTTGGTCAGGCTGGTCTTGAACTGACCTCAGGTCATCAGCCCACCTCGGCCTCCCAAAGTGCTGGGATTACAGGTGTGAGCCATCCTGCCCGGCCTCTAAAGCATATTTCTAAAATGTTTATATTAAAAACTGTCAAGTGTCATCTATGTTCAAAAAGGCAACAGAAAAAAAACAACTGAATATGACTTCTGATAAGGTGCTTTTTCTAGGGATACTCTATTCTAGCCTGTTTCCTTCCTAGTCCTTTGATCTAAGCATTTGCTAAAACCAACTTCATTTTGCTCTATTTTGAATAGATTTCACTCTGTTGTCCTTTTGCTTTTTTTTTCAAATTTAAAATATATTTTTTTATTTTAAAATCATTTCGTCATTCTCCAGGGCATATCCCAAGGGGAAAAGTAGGGGACCCTGTCTTTCTGCTTTAATTAAAATACCAAATTCCTTACTCTAGAATACCTGCCTCCTTATAACCCAGTACTCTCCATTTTCTCTTTCCACCTAGTTTAGATAGGAATGTCCAAAACATGAATATTACTTTTGTTTGTTTATTTGTTTCTTTGTGACAGGGTCTCACTTTGTCACTCAGGCTGAAGTCCAGTGGTGTGAACCTGACTCACTGCAGCCTCAACCTCCTGGGCTCAAGCAGCGTCTGATCCTCCCACCTCAGCTTCCTGAGTAGCTGGCACACCCCCAACCCTGGCTGAGTTTTAAAAAGTTTTTGTAGAGATGGGGTCTTGCCATGTTGCCCAGACTGGCCGGGAACTCCTAGGCCCAAAGCGATCCTCCCACCTCAGGCTCCCAAAGCATTGACATTGCAGGCATGAGCTACCACGCCCAACTGAATATTAAAAACATCACTACACATCAGTAAACATCACTAAATTTAAAATAGGAAAGTTGAAATATTAGTGAGGGAGATGGCCTCCCAAAGTGCTGAGATTACAGGTGTGAGCCACCGTGCCTGGCTGAATATTATTTAAAACATCACTAAACATCACTAAATTTAAAATACGAAAGTTGAAATATTAGTGGAGGGAGACTATTACACATGAAACATCTCAGAATATATTGCTAGTTTTCTAGACCACTTTGGTTTTTTCTCTGTTTCTGTTGAAATGAACACTCTCAGAAAGTCTCTGATTTCATTTTCTATACGTATACCCTTTAAGACTCAGTATTAGAAAAGAAAAAGGCCAGGGGGAATAACCAGTCTATTATCCTAGTGTAATAGATGAGGAAACAGATTTTGTGAGAGAATAAAAGTTATCTAAAGTCACACAGCTAGTTAATGTCAAAGCCAAAACTGAAATGAGGTCTCTGGATTTCTACTTCAATACTTTCCCTGTTATTCCAAGCTGTTTGGGAATATAGGGGGAAAGAAATCTAAATTTAGTGGCAAAGAAATCTCATGAAAACCTTTTTAAAAAGTTTCTCTCTTTACCTGACATGGTCAGAGAAGAAGAAACATCAACTGCAGATAGAAGGGAAGAAGAGACGATACTAGCGGATGTCTGGGTGGCTGAAGCCAACCAGTGCATGTGTCCAGTATGAAGGCCACTGGTCACTGGTTACTGGTCACTGGCCCCTTGTGATGATACAAATTTACAGGCCACGCCCAGGAAACCCCAAGATTCTACCAGGTGGCAGTTGGTTTGGTGGGAGAATGATGTCACAAAGCAGGCAGTTTAAAGGTCTGCGATAGCCAATAGGGAGGTCAGATTCCCCACAAGACAGGATTGGCTGGCAGAGGTGGTAGGAAAGGTGTAACAGCACTAAGTGGCTGAGCTCTGGGGAGGTGAAATCTGCAAGACAGACATGATAGTCCCACTTTCCCCCAGGCTCTCATGTTAGGGAGATCATCTCAATGTTTCTCATAAATGTTCACTAATATAATTAACATTTATATTTAATGTGTTACATTTCATATTATATAATACTATGCATTTATAATTATACAGTACATACACAATATCCTTGGGGAGAAAGGAAGGGGATGTCTAAGTTGAGCAATTACAGTTGTTCTAAAACTATTTCAGTGAATCTGATTAATGAATTTACTGCTGCTTTTTTATTTTATTGAATTTTTTGTGAGATGGAGTCTGGCTCTGTCACCCAGGCTGGAGTGCAGTGGCGTGATCTTGGCTCACTGCAAGCACCACCTCCCAGGTTCACGCCATTCTCCTGCCTCAGACTCCTTAGTAGCTGGGACTACAGGCGCCTGCCACTTCAGCCGGCTAATTTTTTGTATTTTTAGTAGGGACAGGGTTTCACCCTGTTAGCCAGGATGGTTCGATCACCTGACCTTGTGATCTGCTCGCCTCAGCCTCCCAAAGTGCTGGGATTACAGGCGGGAGCCACCGCACCCGGCCCTACTGCCGATTTTAAGGGCCAAAGGAAGAGATTAAAGAACCCTCTTTTGTAACTTGAACAGCAAAGTTTGTTGATTGCCCCTTGTAGGAAATGATGTGGTCCAAGGCTCTTCTCTTTTAGTTTCTTCTCCTTGAATTCCACCTTCTTTGGGCTGGGCCAGGTTGGACTTGGATCTCTCTTCTGCTCTCCCATTTTTAACCCCTTGATTTTAGGCATTGTTTCTGGGCCAAGCCTTGATCTTGCATTTTTACATTCGTGGATATTCCTTCTTGTCAACTTCCAGAGCAGGAGTCTTCTTTTCAGTGTCCTGATGTTTGGAAAACGGACTCTGCTCATGAGAAGCAAACAGCAGAGAGGTAGAAGACAAGGCTGACTGCAGACCTTCCCTCTTCTAGCCTTTGGTCACAATTCTTTTGCCCACAGTTTGCTACCTCTGGCTCCTTGGGCCACACAGACACCCTGCCATCCTGCTCTTTTATATGTGAGAGGCATTCAGGATACTTTCTTTCTTTCTTCTCACATAAGAGGATCCAGTGTGGCAGTTACTTATAGCCTCGTCTCCCTTGCAAACAGCCACTATAGAATCTTGGGCCTTTAGGATTTTCTGTCAGCCATGCTTGGGTGCAAGGGCCAGGCAAAATGAAGAGTTGAAGCATTTAGTGGAGAATAGGAAACAGGCAAGGTGAGGGTACAGGAAAAAAGAGATTTATGTGGATTTTTTGGTTTCTGTGACAAACAATTCAACATACCTATTTTGTATTAACAAAATAGACAATTCTTTTTTTTTTTTTTTGAGACAGAGTCTCTCTCTGTCACCCAGGCTGGAGGGCAGTGGCCGATCTCTGCTAGCTTCAAGCTCTGCCTCCCAGGTTCACACCATTCTCGTGCCTTAGTCTCCCGAGTAGCTGGGATTACAGGTACTCGCCACCATGCCCGGCTAATTTTTTGTATTTTTTTGTAGAGACGGGGTTTCACCGTGTCAGCGAGGATGGTCTCCTGACCTTGGGATCTGCCCACCTCAGCCTCCCAAAGTGCTGGGATTACAGGCGTGTGCCACTGCGCCTGGCCCAATATTTTTTATGTAGCTAGATAGTCCAGAACTTCCATGACTTCTGTACACTGAAGAAAATAATCATAATGTATTTTTTCCATTTTGTTTTATACCGTATTACCTCATTTATGTCATTCATTAGTATGTCTGTAGAATGTAAATTGCTTTTGTTTTATTAACTTTATTTTATTTATAAGAGTGAGACAGAATTTCACTCTTTTGCCCAGGCTGGAGTGCAGTGGCACGGTCTTGGCTCACTGCAACCTCTGCCTCCTTGGTCCAAGTGATTCTCCTGCCTCAGCCTCCCAAGTGGCTGGGATAACGGGTGCCGCCACTATCCCTGGCTAATTTTTGTATTTTTATTAAGGACAAGGTTTCACCATGTTGTCCAGGCTGGTCTCAAACTCCTGACCTCGGTTGATCTTCCTGCCTCAGCCTCGCAAAGTGCTGGGATTACAGGTGTGAGCCACCGTGCGTGGCCTGTAGATTGCTTTTAAATCCTCTGGTTTTTCTACATGTTTTTTCCTTGTCATATTTTTAAGGAATACAAGATTGTAAGACATACTGCATGTTTTTCTCATGATGGTTGTTTATTTTGAAACATCATGAACTATGGTGACCTGATGGGTTTTGTGGAGGAAATTAAAGAGGGGTCTGTGAAAAAGGCACTGTTGTGAGTTGTGCTGTGTGCCCAAGCATAAGGAACAGATGTCTGCAGTGAGCCCAAGTTGACTTGGATTGCCTTGGTTTTCATTTTCCTAGTTAGTGCTTTTCTCACTAACTTCTCTTGTAACTGTGATAAAATGAGTTAGGGCTGAGTTGCTAATGATTTACGTGTGGACTAAGCTGGTTTGGGGGAGGAAATCTATGGATATAATCATTTTCCTTGGTGGTAAGCTTTTAGAGATACCTGCATTGATCATTTGTTTGTTTATTTGTTTGTTTGTTTTTAGATGGAGTCTCGCTCTGTCGCCTAGGCTGGAGGGCAGTGGCACGATCTCGGCTCACTGCATCATGCGCCTCCCTGGTTCAAGCAATTCTGATGCCTGAGCCTCCCAAGTACGTAGGATTAAAGGTGCACACCACCACACCCAGCTAATTTTTGTATTCTTAGTAGAGATGGGGTTTGACCACGTTGGCCAGGCTGGTCTCCAACTCCTGACCTCCGGTGATCTTCCCACCTCAGCCTCGCAAAGTGCTGTGATTACAGGCGTGAGCCACCGCACCCCGCCTGGAAGCCTCATTTCTAAAACATGTTGGTTTCTTTTTTTTTTCTTTTGAAGCGGAGTTTCGCTCTTATTGCCCAGACTGGAGTGCAATGGCGCGATCTTGGCTCACCACAACCTTTGCCTCTCGGGTTCAAGCGATTCTCCTGCCTCAGCCTCCCAAATAGCTGGGATTACACGCATGTGCCACCATGCCCGGCTAATTTGGTATTTTTAGTAGAGATGGGGTTTCTCCTTGTTGGTCAGGCTTGTCTCACACTCCTGACCTCAGGTGATCAGCCCACCTCGGCCTCCCAAAGTGCTTGGTTTACAGGCGTAAGCCACCGTGCCCGGCCTCTAAAACATATTTCCAAAATGTTTATATTACAAACTGTCAAGTGTCATCTATGTTCAAAAAGGCAACAGAAAAAAGTGACTGAATATGACTTCTGATAAGCTGCTTTTCCTAGGGATATGTAATGTAGCCTGTTTCCTTTCTCGTCCATTGATCTAAGCATTTGCTAAAATCAACTTCATTTTGCCCTACTCTGAATACATTTCACTCTGTTGTCCTTCTGCTTTTTTTTTTCAAATTTAAAATATATTTTTTTCTTTTAAAATCATTTTGTCATTCTCCAGGGCATATCCCAAGGGGAAAAGTAGGGGACCATGTCTTTCTGCTTAAATTAAAATACCAAATTACTTACCCTAGAATACCTGCCTCCTTAGAACCCAGTACTCTCCATTTTCTCTTTCCACCTAGTTTAGATAGGAATGTCCAAAACGTGAATACTACTTTTCTTTTTTGTTTGTTTGTTTGTTTGTTTGTTTGTGACAGGGTCTCACTTTGTCACCCAGGCTGAAGTCCAGTGGTATGAACATGGCTCACTGCAGTCTCAGCCTCCTGGGCTCAAGCAGTCCTCTGATCCTCCCACCTCAGCCTCCTGCGTAGCTGGCATACACCCAACCCTGGCTGAGTCTTAAAAAGTTTTTGTAGAGATGGGGTCTTGCCATGTTGCCCAGACTGGCCGGGAACTCCTAGGCCCAAAGCGATCCTCCCACCTCAGGCTCCCAAAGCATTGATATTGCAGGCATGAGCTACCACGCCCAACTGAATATTAAAAACATCACTACACATCAGTAAACATCACTAAATTTAAAATAGGAAAGTTGAAATATTAGTGAGGGAGATGGCCTCCCAAAGTGCTGAGATTACAGGTATGAGCCACCGTGCCTGGCTGAATATTATTTAAAACATCACTAAGCATCACTAAATTTAAAATACGAAAGTTGAAATATTAGTAGAGGGAGACTATTACACATGAAACATCTCAGAATATATTGCTAGTTTTCTAGACCACTTTGGTTTTTTCTCTGTTTCTGTTGAAATGAACACTCTCAGAAAGTCTCTGATTTCATTTTCTATACATATACCCTTTAAGACTCAGTATTAGAAAAGAAAAGGGCCAGGGGGAATAACCAGTCTATTATCCTAGTGTAATAGATGAGGAAACAGATTTTATGAGAGAATAAACGTTATCTAAAGTCACACAGCTAGTAAATGTCAAAGCCAAAACTGAAATGAGGTCTCTGGATTTCTACTTCAATAATTTCCCTGTTATTCCAAGCTGTTTGGGAATATAGGGGGGAAGAAACCTAAATTTAGTGGCAAAGAAATCTCATGAAAACCTTTTTAAGAAGTTTCTTTCTTTACCTGACATGGTCAGAGAAGAAGAAACATCAACTGCAGATAGAAGGGAAGAAGAGACGATACTAGCGGATGTCTGGGTGGCTGAAGCCAACCAGTGCATGTGTCCAGTATGAAGGCCACTGGTCACTGGTTACTGGTCACTGGCCCCTTGTGATGATACAAATTTACAGGCCACGCCCAGGAAACCCCAAGATGCTACCAGGTGGCGGTCGGTTTGGTGGGAGAATGATGTCACAAAGCAGGCAGTTTAAAGGTCTGCGATAGCCAATAGGGAGGTCAGATTCCCCACAAGACAGGATTGGCTGGCAGAGGTGGTAGGAAAGGTGTAACAGCACTAAGTGGCTGAGCTCTGGGGAGGTGAAATCTGCAAGACAGACATGATAGTCCCACTTTCCCCCAGGCTCTCATGTTAGGGAGATCATCTCAATGTTTCTCATAAATGTTCACTAATATAATTAACATTTATATTTTATATGTTACATTTCATAATATGTAATAGTATGCATTTATAATTATACAGTACATACACAATATCCTTGGGGAGAAAGGAAGGGGATGTCTAAGTTGAGCAATTACAGTTGTTCTAAAACTATTTCAGTGAATCTGATTAATGAATTTACTGCTGCTTTTTAATTTTATTGTATTTTTTGTGAGATGGAGTCTGGCTCTGTCACCCAGGCTGGAGTGCAGTGGCGTGATCTTGGCTCACTGCAAGCACCACCTCCCAGGTTCACGCTATTCTACTGCCTCAGCCTCCTGAGTAGCTGGGACTACAGGCGCCTGCCACTTCAGCCGGCTAATTTTTTGTATTTTTAGTAGGGACAGGGTTTCACCCTGTTAGCCAGGATGGTCTCGATCACCTGACCTCGTGATCCGCCCGCATCTGCCTCCCAGAGTGCTGGGATTACAGGCGGGAGCCACCGCGCCTGGCCCCACTGCCGCTTTTAATGGCCAGAGGAAGGGATTAAAGAACCCCCTTTCGTAACTTGAACAGCAAAGTTCGTTGACTGCCCCTTGTAGGAAATGATGTGGTCCAAGGCTCTTCTCTTTTAGTTTCTTCTCCTTGAATTCCACCTTCTTTGGGCTGGGCCAGGTTGGACTTGGATCTCTCTTCTGCTCTCCCATTTTTAACCCCTTGATTTTAGGCATTGTTTCTGGGCCAAGCCTTGATCTTGCATTTTTACATTCGTGGATATTCCTTCTTGTCAACTTCCAGAGCAGGAGTCTTCTTTTCAGTGTCCTGATGTTTGGAAAACGGACTCTGCTCATGAGAAGCAAACAGCAGAGAGGTAGAAGACAAGGCTGACTGCAGACCTTCCCTCTTCTAGCCTTTGGTCACAATTCTTTTGCCCACAGTTTGCTACCTCTGGCTCCTTGGGCCACACAGACACCCTGCCATCCTGCTCTTTTATATGTGAGAGGCATTCAGGATACTTTCTTTCTTTCTTCTCACATAAGAGGATCCAGTGTGGCAGTTACTTATAGCCTCGTCTCCCTTGCAAACAGCCACTATAGAATCTTGGGCCTTTAGGATTTTCTGTCAGCCATGCTTGGGTGCAAGGGCCAGGCAAAATGAAGAGTTGAAGCATTTAGTGGAGAATAGGAAACAGGCAAGGTGAGGGTACAGGAAAAAAGAGATTTATGTGGATTTTTTGGTTTCTGTGACAAACAATTCAACATACCTATTTTGTATTAACAAAATAGACAATTCTTTTTTTTTTTTTTTGAGACAGAGTCTCTCTCTGTCACCCAGGCTGGAGGGCAGTGGCCGATCTCTGCTAGCTTCAAGCTCTGCCTCCCAGGTTCACACCATTCTCGTGCCTCAGCCTCCCGAGTAGCTGGGATTACAGGTACTCGCCACCATGCCCGGCTAATTTTTTGTATTTTTTTGTAGAGACGGGGTTTCACCGTGTCAGCCAGGATGGTCTCCTGACCTTGGGATCTGCCCACCTCAGCCTCCCAAAGTGCTGGGATTACAGGCGTGTGCCACTGCGCCTGGCCCAATATTTTTTATGTAGCTAGATAGTCCAGAACTTCCATGACTTCTGTACACTGAAGAAAATAATCATAATGTATTTTTTCCATTTTGTTTTATACCGTATTACCTCATTTATGTCATTCATTAGTATGTCTGTAGAATGTAAATTGCTTTTGTTTTATTAACTTTATTTTATTTATAAGAGTGAGACAGAATTTCACTCTTTTGCCCAGGCTGGAGTGCAGTGGCACGGTCTTGGCTCACTGCAACCTCTGCCTCCTTGGTCCAAGTGATTCTCCTGCCTCAGCCTCCCAAGTGGCTGGGATAACGGGTGCCGCCACTATCCCTGGCTAATTTTTGTATTTTTATTAAGGACAAGGTTTCACCATGTTGTCCAGGCTGGTCTCAAACTCCTGACCTCGGTTGATCTTCCTGCCTCAGCCTCGCAAAGTGCTGGGATTACAGGTGTGAGCCACCGTGCGTGGCCTGTAGATTGCTTTTAAATCCTCTGGTTTTTCTACATGTTTTTTCCTTGTCATATTTTTAAGGAATACAAGATTGTAAGACGTACTGCATGTTTTTCTCATGATGGTTGTTTATTTTGAAACATCATGAACTATGGTGACCTGATGGGTTTTGTGGAGGAAATTAAAGAGGGGTCTGTGAAAAAGGCACTGTTGTGAGTTGTGCTGTGTGCCCAAGCATAAGGAACAGATGTCTGCAGTGAGCCCAAGTTGACTTGGATTGCCTTGGTTTTCATTTTCCTAGTTAGTGCTTTTCTCACTAACTTCTCTTGTAACTGTGATAAAATGAGTTAGGGCTGAGTTGCTAATGATTTACGTGTGGACTAAGCTGGTTTGGGGGAGGAAATCTATGGATATAATCATTTTCCTTGGTGGTAAGCTTTTAGAGATACCTGCATTGATCATTTGTTTGTTTATTTGTTTGTTTGTTTTTAGATGGAGTCTCGCTCTGTCGCCTAGGCTGGAGGGCAGTGGCACGATCTCGGCTCACTGCATCATGCGCCTCCCTGGTTCAAGCAATTCTGATGCCTGAGCCTCCCAAGTACGTAGGATTAAAGGTGCACACCACCACACCCAGCTAATTTTTGTATTCTTAGTAGAGATGGGGTTTGACCACGTTGGCCAGGCTGGTCTCCAACTCCTGACCTCCGGTGATCTTCCCACCTCAGCCTCGCAAAGTGCTGTGATTACAGGCGTGAGCCACCGCACCCCGCCTGGAAGCCTCATTTCTAAAACATGTTGGTTTCTTTTTTTTTTCTTTTGAAGCGGAGTTTCGCTCTTATTGCCCAGACTGGAGTGCAATGGCGCGATCTTGGCTCACCACAACCTTTGCCTCTCGGGTTCAAGCGATTCTCCTGCCTCAGCCTCCCAAATAGCTGGGATTACACGCATGTGCCACCATGCCCGGCTAATTTGGTATTTTTAGTAGAGATGGGGTTTCTCCTTGTTGGTCAGGCTTGTCTCACACTCCTGACCTCAGGTGATCAGCCCACCTCGGCCTCCCAAAGTGCTTGGTTTACAGGCGTAAGCCACCGTGCCCGGCCTCTAAAACATATTTCCAAAATGTTTATATTACAAACTGTCAAGTGTCATCTATGTTCAAAAAGGCAACAGAAAAAAGTGACTGAATATGACTTCTGATAAGCTGCTTTTCCTAGGGATATGTAATGTAGCCTGTTTCCTTTCTCGTCCATTGATCTAAGCATTTGCTAAAATCAACTTCATTTTGCCCTACTCTGAATACATTTCACTCTGTTGTCCTTCTGCTTTTTTTTTTCAAATTTAAAATATATTTTTTTCTTTTAAAATCATTTTGTCATTCTCCAGGGCATATCCCAAGGGGAAAAGTAGGGGACCATGTCTTTCTGCTTAAATTAAAATACCAAATTACTTACCCTAGAATACCTGCCTCCTTAGAACCCAGTACTCTCCATTTTCTCTTTCCACCTAGTTTAGATAGGAATGTCCAAAACGTGAATACTACTTTTCTTTTTTGTTTGTTTGTTTGTTTGTTTGTTTGTGACAGGGTCTCACTTTGTCACCCAGGCTGAAGTCCAGTGGTATGAACATGGCTCACTGCAGTCTCAGCCTCCTGG
Organism: Homo sapiens; assembly: GCF_000001405.40. Lineage (NCBI taxonomy): Eukaryota > Metazoa > Chordata > Mammalia > Primates > Hominidae > Homo > Homo sapiens. Next base: position 469,406 of record NW_025791766.1, on the reverse strand, counting down.
GCTCAAGCAGTCCTCTGATCCTCCCACCTCAGCCTCCTGCGTAGCTGGCATACACCCAACCCTGGCTGAGTCTTAAAAAGTTTTTGTAGAGATGGGGTCTTGCCATGTTGCCCAGACTGGCCGGGAACTCCTAGGCCCAAAGCGATCCTCCCACCTCAGGCTCCCAAAGCATTGATATTGCAGGCATGAGCTACCACGCCCAACTGAATATTAAAAACATCACTACACATCAGTAAACATCACTAAATTTAAAATAGGAAAGTTGAAATATTAGTGAGGGAGATGGCCTCCCAAAGTGCTGAGATTACAGGTATGAGCCACCGTGCCTGGCTGAATATTATTTAAAACATCACTAAGCATCACTAAATTTAAAATACGAAAGTTGAAATATTAGTAGAGGGAGACTATTACACATGAAACATCTCAGAATATATTGCTAGTTTTCTAGACCACTTTGGTTTTTTCTCTGTTTCTGTTGAAATGAACACTCTCAGAAAGTCTCTGATTTCATTTTCTATACATATACCCTTTAAGACTCAGTATTAGAAAAGAAAAGGGCCAGGGGGAATAACCAGTCTATTATCCTAGTGTAATAGATGAGGAAACAGATTTTATGAGAGAATAAACGTTATCTAAAGTCACACAGCTAGTAAATGTCAAAGCCAAAACTGAAATGAGGTCTCTGGATTTCTACTTCAATAATTTCCCTGTTATTCCAAGCTGTTTGGGAATATAGGGGGGAAGAAACCTAAATTTAGTGGCAAAGAAATCTCATGAAAACCTTTTTAAGAAGTTTCTTTCTTTACCTGACATGGTCAGAGAAGAAGAAACATCAACTGCAGATAGAAGGGAAGAAGAGACGATACTAGCGGATGTCTGGGTGGCTGAAGCCAACCAGTGCATGTGTCCAGTATGAAGGCCACTGGTCACTGGTTACTGGTCACTGGCCCCTTGTGATGATACAAATTTACAGGCCACGCCCAGGAAACCCCAAGATGCTACCAGGTGGCGGTCGGTTTGGTGGGAGAATGATGTCACAAAGCAGGCAGTTTAAAGGTCTGCGATAGCCAATAGGGAGGTCAGATTCCCCACAAGACAGGATTGGCTGGCAGAGGTGGTAGGAAAGGTGTAACAGCACTAAGTGGCTGAGCTCTGGGGAGGTGAAATCTGCAAGACAGACATGATAGTCCCACTTTCCCCCAGGCTCTCATGTTAGGGAGATCATCTCAATGTTTCTCATAAATGTTCACTAATATAATTAACATTTATATTTTATATGTTACATTTCATAATATGTAATAGTATGCATTTATAATTATACAGTACATACACAATATCCTTGGGGAGAAAGGAAGGGGATGTCTAAGTTGAGCAATTACAGTTGTTCTAAAACTATTTCAGTGAATCTGATTAATGAATTTACTGCTGCTTTTTAATTTTATTGTATTTTTTGTGAGATGGAGTCTGGCTCTGTCACCCAGGCTGGAGTGCAGTGGCGTGATCTTGGCTCACTGCAAGCACCACCTCCCAGGTTCACGCTATTCTACTGCCTCAGCCTCCTGAGTAGCTGGGACTACAGGCGCCTGCCACTTCAGCCGGCTAATTTTTTGTATTTTTAGTAGGGACAGGGTTTCACCCTGTTAGCCAGGATGGTCTCGATCACCTGACCTCGTGATCCGCCCGCATCTGCCTCCCAGAGTGCTGGGATTACAGGCGGGAGCCACCGCGCCTGGCCCCACTGCCGCTTTTAATGGCCAGAGGAAGGGATTAAAGAACCCCCTTTTGTAACTTGAACAGCAAAGTTCCTTGACTGCCCCTTGTAGGAAATGATGTGGTCCAAGGCTCTTCTCTTTTAGTTTCTTCTCCTTGAATTCCACCTTCTTTGGGCTGGGCCAGGTTGGACTTGGATCTCTCTTCTGCTCTCCCTTTTTTAACCCCTTGATTTTAGGCATTGTTTCTGGGCCAAGCCTTGATCTTGCATTTTTACATTCGTGAATATTCCTTCTTGTCAACTTCCAGAGCAGGAGTCTTCTTTTCAGTGTCCCGATGTGTGGAAAACGGACTCTCCTCATGAGAAGCAAACAGCAGAGAGGTAGAAGACAAGGCTGACTGCAGACCTTCTCTCTTCTAGCCTTTGGTCACAATTCTTTTGCCCACAGTTTGCTACCTCTGGCTCCTTGGGCCACACAGACACCCTGCCATCCTGCTCTTTTATATGTGAGAGGCATTCTGGATACTTTCTTTCTTCTCACATAAGAGGATCCAGTGTGGCAGTTACTTATAGCCTCGTCTCCCTTGCAAACAGCCACTATAGAATCTTGGGCCTTTAGGATTTTCTGTCAGCCATGCTTGGGTGCAAGGGCCAGGCAAAATGAAGAGTTAAAGCATTTAGTGGAGAATAGGAAACAGGCAAGGTGAGGGTACAGGAAAAAAGAGATTTATGTGGATTTTTTGGTTTCTGTGACAAACAATTCAACATACCTATTTTGTATTAACAAAATAGACAATTCTTTTTTTTTTTTTTTTTGAGACAGAGTCTCTCTCTGTCACCCAGGCTGGAGGGCAGTGGCCGATCTCTGCTAGCTTCAAGCTCTGCCTCCCAGGTTCACACCATTCTCGTGCCTCAGCCTCCCGAGTAGCTGGGATTACAGGTACTCGCCACCATGCCCGGCTAATTTTTTGTATTTTTTTGTAGAGACGGGGTTTCACCGTGTCAGCCAGGATGGTCTCCTGACCTTGGGATCTGCCCACCTCAGCCTCCCAAAGTGCTGGGATTACAGGCGTGTGCCACTGCGCCTGGCCCAATATTTTTTATGTAGCTAGATAGTCCAGAACTTCCATGACTTCTGTACACTGAAGAAAATAATCATAATGTATTTTTTCCATTTTGTTTTATACCGTATTACCTCATTTATGTCATTCATTAGTATGTCTGTAGAATGTAAATTGCTTTTGTTTTATTAACTTTATTTTATTTATAAGAGTGAGACAGAATTTCACTCTTTTGCCCAGGCTGGAGTGCAGTGGCACGGTCTTGGCTCACTGCAACCTCTGCCTCCTTGGTCCAAGTGATTCTCCTGCCTCAGCCTCCCAAGTGGCTGGGATAACGGGTGCCGCCACTATCCCTGGCTAATTTTTGTATTTTTATTAAGGACAAGGTTTCACCATGTTGTCCAGGCTGGTCTCAAACTCCTGACCTCGGTTGATCTTCCTGCCTCAGCCTCGCAAAGTGCTGGGATTACAGGTGTGAGCCACCGTGCGTGGCCTGTAGATTGCTTTTAAATCCTCTGGTTTTTCTACATGTTTTTTCCTTGTCATATTTTTAAGGAATACAAGATTGTAAGACGTACTGCATGTTTTTCTCATGATGGTTGTTTATTTTGAAACATCATGAACTATGGTGACCTGATGGGTTTTGTGGAGGAAATTAAAGAGGGGTCTGTGAAAAAGGCACTGTTGTGAGTTGTGCTGTGTGCCCAAGCATAAGGAACAGATGTCTGCAGTGAGCCCAAGTTGACTTGGATTGCCTTGGTTTTCATTTTCCTAGTTAGTGCTTTTCTCACTAACTTCTCTTGTAACTGTGATAAAATGAGTTAGGGCTGAGTTGCTAATGATTTACGTGTGGACTAAGCTGGTTTGGGGGAGGAAATCTATGGATATAATCATTTTCCTTGGTGGTAAGCTTTTAGAGATACCTGCATTGATCATTTGTTTGTTTATTTGTTTGTTTGTTTTTAGATGGAGTCTCGCTCTGTCGCCTAGGCTGGAGGGCAGTGGCACGATCTCGGCTCACTGCATCATGCGCCTCCCTGGTTCAAGCAATTCTGATGCCTGAGCCTCCCAAGTACGTAGGATTAAAGGTGCACACCACCACACCCAGCTAATTTTTGTATTCTTAGTAGAGATGGGGTTTGACCACGTTGGCCAGGCTGGTCTCCAACTCCTGACCTCCGGTGATCTTCCCACCTCAGCCTCGCAAAGTGCTGTGATTACAGGCGTGAGCCACCGCACCCCGCCTGGAAGCCTCATTTCTAAAACATGTTGGTTTCTTTTTTTTTTCTTTTGAAGCGGAGTTTCGCTCTTATTGCCCAGACTGGAGTGCAATGGCGCGATCTTGGCTCACCACAACCTTTGCCTCTCGGGTTCAAGCGATTCTCCTGCCTCAGCCTCCCAAATAGCTGGGATTACACGCATGTGCCACCATGCCCGGCTAATTTGGTATTTTTAGTAGAGATGGGGTTTCTCCTTGTTGGTCAGGCTTGTCTCACACTCCTGACCTCAGGTGATCAGCCCACCTCGGCCTCCCAAAGTGCTTGGTTTACAGGCGTAAGCCACCGTGCCCGGCCTCTAAAACATATTTCCAAAATGTTTATATTACAAACTGTCAAGTGTCATCTATGTTCAAAAAGGCAACAGAAAAAAGTGACTGAATATGACTTCTGATAAGCTGCTTTTCCTAGGGATATGTAATGTAGCCTGTTTCCTTTCTCGTCCATTGATCTAAGCATTTGCTAAAATCAACTTCATTTTGCCCTACTCTGAATACATTTCACTCTGTTGTCCTTCTGCTTTTTTTTTTCAAATTTAAAATATATTTTTTTCTTTTAAAATCATTTTGTCATTCTCCAGGGCATATCCCAAGGGGAAAAGTAGGGGACCATGTCTTTCTGCTTAAATTAAAATACCAAATTACTTACCCTAGAATACCTGCCTCCTTAGAACCCAGTACTCTCCATTTTCTCTTTCCACCTAGTTTAGATAGGAATGTCCAAAACGTGAATACTACTTTTCTTTTTTGTTTGTTTGTTTGTTTGTTTGTTTGTGACAGGGTCTCACTTTGTCACCCAGGCTGAAGTCCAGTGGTATGAACATGGCTCACTGCAGTCTCAGCCTCCTGGGCTCAAGCAGTCCTCTGATCCTCCCACCTCAGCCTCCTGCGTAGCTGGCATACACCCAACCCTGGCTGAGTCTTAAAAAGTTTTTGTAGAGATGGGGTCTTGCCATGTTGCCCAGACTGGCCGGGAACTCCTAGGCCCAAAGCGATCCTCCCACCTCAGGCTCCCAAAGCATTGATATTGCAGGCATGAGCTACCACGCCCAACTGAATATTAAAAACATCACTACACATCAGTAAACATCACTAAATTTAAAATAGGAAAGTTGAAATATTAGTGAGGGAGATGGCCTCCCAAAGTGCTGAGATTACAGGTATGAGCCACCGTGCCTGGCTGAATATTATTTAAAACATCACTAAGCATCACTAAATTTAAAATACGAAAGTTGAAATATTAGTAGAGGGAGACTATTACACATGAAACATCTCAGAATATATTGCTAGTTTTCTAGACCACTTTGGTTTTTTCTCTGTTTCTGTTGAAATGAACACTCTCAGAAAGTCTCTGATTTCATTTTCTATACATATACCCTTTAAGACTCAGTATTAGAAAAGAAAAGGGCCAGGGGGAATAACCAGTCTATTATCCTAGTGTAATAGATGAGGAAACAGATTTTATGAGAGAATAAACGTTATCTAAAGTCACACAGCTAGTAAATGTCAAAGCCAAAACTGAAATGAGGTCTCTGGATTTCTACTTCAATAATTTCCCTGTTATTCCAAGCTGTTTGGGAATATAGGGGGGAAGAAACCTAAATTTAGTGGCAAAGAAATCTCATGAAAACCTTTTTAAGAAGTTTCTTTCTTTACCTGACATGGTCAGAGAAGAAGAAACATCAACTGCAGATAGAAGGGAAGAAGAGACGATACTAGCGGATGTCTGGGTGGCTGAAGCCAACCAGTGCATGTGTCCAGTATGAAGGCCACTGGTCACTGGTTACTGGTCACTGGCCCCTTGTGATGATACAAATTTACAGGCCACGCCCAGGAAACCCCAAGATGCTACCAGGTGGCGGTCGGTTTGGTGGGAGAATGATGTCACAAAGCAGGCAGTTTAAAGGTCTGCGATAGCCAATAGGGAGGTCAGATTCCCCACAAGACAGGATTGGCTGGCAGAGGTGGTAGGAAAGGTGTAACAGCACTAAGTGGCTGAGCTCTGGGGAGGTGAAATCTGCAAGACAGACATGATAGTCCCACTTTCCCCCAGGCTCTCATGTTAGGGAGATCATCTCAATGTTTCTCATAAATGTTCACTAATATAATTAACATTTATATTTTATATGTTACATTTCATAATATGTAATAGTATGCATTTATAATTATACAGTACATACACAATATCCTTGGGGAGAAAGGAAGGGGATGTCTAAGTTGAGCAATTACAGTTGTTCTAAAACTATTTCAGTGAATCTGATTAATGAATTTACTGCTGCTTTTTAATTTTATTGTATTTTTTGTGAGATGGAGTCTGGCTCTGTCACCCAGGCTGGAGTGCAGTGGCGTGATCTTGGCTCACTGCAAGCACCACCTCCCAGGTTCACGCTATTCTACTGCCTCAGCCTCCTGAGTAGCTGGGACTACAGGCGCCTGCCACTTCAGCCGGCTAATTTTTTGTATTTTTAGTAGGGACAGGGTTTCACCCTGTTAGCCAGGATGGTCTCGATCACCTGACCTCGTGATCCGCCCGCATCTGCCTCCCAGAGTGCTGGGATTACAGGCGGGAGCCACCGCGCCTGGCCCCACTGCCGCTTTTAATGGCCAGAGGAAGGGATTAAAGAACCCCCTTTCGTAACTTGAACAGCAAAGTTCGTTGACTGCCCCTTGTAGGAAATGATGTGGTCCAAGGCTCTTCTCTTTTAGTTTCTTCTCCTTGAATTCCACCTTCTTTGGGCTGGGCCAGGTTGGACTTGGATCTCTCTTCTGCTCTCCCTTTTTTAACCCCTTGATTTTAGGCATTGTTTCTGGGCCAAGCCTTGATCTTGCATTTTTACATTCGTGAATATTCCTTCTTGTCAACTTCCAGAGCAGGAGTCTTCTTTTCAGTGTCCCGATGTGTGGAAAACGGACTCTCCTCATGAGAAGCAAACAGCAGAGAGGTAGAAGACAAGGCTGACTGCAGACCTTCTCTCTTCTAGCCTTTGGTCACAATTCTTTTGCCCACAGTTTGCTACCTCTGGCTCCTTGGGCCACACAGACACCCTGCCATCCTGCTCTTTTATATGTGAGAGGCATTCTGGATACTTTCTTTCTTCTCACATAAGAGGATCCAGTGTGGCAGTTACTTATAGCCTCGTCTCCCTTGCAAACAGCCACTATAGAATCTTGGGCCTTTAGGATTTTCTGTCAGCCATGCTTGGGTGCAAGGGCCAGGCAAAATGAAGAGTTAAAGCATTTAGTGGAGAATAGGAAACAGGCAAGGTGAGGGTACAGGAAAAAAGAGATTTATGTGGATTTTTTGGTTTCTGTGACAAACAATTCAACATACCTATTTTGTATTAACAAAATAGACAATTCTTTTTTTTTTTTTTTTGAGACAGAGTCTCTCTCTGTCACCCAGGCTGGAGGGCAGTGGCCGATCTCTGCTAGCTTCAAGCTCTGCCTCCCAGGTTCACACCATTCTCGTGCCTCAGCCTCCCGAGTAGCTGGGATTACAGGTACTCGCCACCATGCCCGGCTAATTTTTTGTATTTTTTTGTAGAGACGGGGTTTCACCGTGTCAGCCAGGATGGTCTCCTGACCTTGGGATCTGCCCACCTCAGCCTCCCAAAGTGCTGGGATTACAGGCGTGTGCCACTGCGCCTGGCCCAATATTTTTTATGTAGCTAGATAGTCCAGAACTTCCATGACTTCTGTACACTGAAGAAAATAATCATAATGTATTTTTTCCATTTTGTTTTATACCGTATTACCTCATTTATGTCATTCATTAGTATGTCTGTAGAATGTAAATTGCTTTTGTTTTATTAACTTTATTTTATTTATAAGAGTGAGACAGAATTTCACTCTTTTGCCCAGGCTGGAGTGCAGTGGCACGGTCTTGGCTCACTGCAACCTCTGCCTCCTTGGTCCAAGTGATTCTCCTGCCTCAGCCTCCCAAGTGGCTGGGATAACGGGTGCCGCCACTATCCCTGGCTAATTTTTGTATTTTTATTAAGGACAAGGTTTCACCATGTTGTCCAGGCTGGTCTCAAACTCCTGACCTCGGTTGATCTTCCTGCCTCAGCCTCGCAAAGTGCTGGGATTACAGGTGTGAGCCACCGTGCGTGGCCTGTAGATTGCTTTTAAATCCTCTGGTTTTTCTACATGTTTTTTCCTTGTCATATTTTTAAGGAATACAAGATTGTAAGACGTACTGCATGTTTTTCTCATGATGGTTGTTTATTTTGAAACATCATGAACTATGGTGACCTGATGGGTTTTGTGGAGGAAATTAAAGAGGGGTCTGTGAAAAAGGCACTGTTGTGAGTTGTGCTGTGTGCCCAAGCATAAGGAACAGATGTCTGCAGTGAGCCCAAGTTGACTTGGATTGCCTTGGTTTTCATTTTCCTAGTTAGTGCTTTTCTCACTAACTTCTCTTGTAACTGTGATAAAATGAGTTAGGGCTGAGTTGCTAATGATTTACGTGTGGACTAAGCTGGTTTGGGGGAGGAAATCTATGGATATAATCATTTTCCTTGGTGGTAAGCTTTTAGAGATACCTGCATTGATCATTTGTTTGTTTATTTGTTTGTTTGTTTTTAGATGGAGTCTCGCTCTGTCGCCTAGGCTGGAGGGCAGTGGCACGATCTCGGCTCACTGCATCATGCGCCTCCCTGGTTCAAGCAATTCTGATGCCTGAGCCTCCCAAGTACGTAGGATTAAAGGTGCACACCACCACACCCAGCTAATTTTTGTATTCTTAGTAGAGATGGGGTTTGACCACGTTGGCCAGGCTGGTCTCCAACTCCTGACCTCCGGTGATCTTCCCACCTCAGCCTCGCAAAGTGCTGTGATTACAGGCGTGAGCCACCGCACCCCGCCTGGAAGCCTCATTTCTAAAACATGTTGGTTTCTTTTTTTTTTCTTTTGAAGCGGAGTTTCGCTCTTATTGCCCAGACTGGAGTGCAATGGCGCGATCTTGGCTCACCACAACCTTTGCCTCTCGGGTTCAAGCGATTCTCCTGCCTCAGCCTCCCAAATAGCTGGGATTACACGCATGTGCCACCATGCCCGGCTAATTTGGTATTTTTAGTAGAGATGGGGTTTCTCCTTGTTGGTCAGGCTTGTCTCACACTCCTGACCTCAGGTGATCAGCCCACCTCGGCCTCCCAAAGTGCTTGGTTTACAGGCGTAAGCCACCGTGCCCGGCCTCTAAAACATATTTCCAAAATGTTTATATTACAAACTGTCAAGTGTCATCTATGTTCAAAAAGGCAACAGAAAAAAGTGACTGAATATGACTTCTGATAAGCTGCTTTTCCTAGGGATATGTAATGTAGCCTGTTTCCTTTCTCGTCCATTGATCTAAGCATTTGCTAAAATCAACTTCATTTTGCCCTACTCTGAATACATTTCACTCTGTTGTCCTTCTGCTTTTTTTTTTCAAATTTAAAATATATTTTTTTCTTTTAAAATCATTTTGTCATTCTCCAGGGCATATCCCAAGGGGAAAAGTAGGGGACCATGTCTTTCTGCTTAAATTAAAATACCAAATTACTTACCCTAGAATACCTGCCTCCTTAGAACCCAGTACTCTCCATTTTCTCTTTCCACCTAGTTTAGATAGGAATGTCCAAAACGTGAATACTACTTTTCTTTTTTGTTTGTTTGTTTGTTTGTTTGTTTGTGACAGGGTCTCACTTTGTCACCCAGGCTGAAGTCCAGTGGTATGAACATGGCTCACTGCAGTCTCAGCCTCCTGGGCTCAAGCAGTCCTCTGATCCTCCCACCTCAGCCTCCTGCGTAGCTGGCATACACCCAACCCTGGCTGAGTCTTAAAAAGTTTTTGTAGAGATGGGGTCTTGCCATGTTGCCCAGACTGGCCGGGAACTCCTAGGCCCAAAGCGATCCTCCCACCTCAGGCTCCCAAAGCATTGATATTGCAGGCATGAGCTACCACGCCCAACTGAATATTAAAAACATCACTACACATCAGTAAACATCACTAAATTTAAAATAGGAAAGTTGAAATATTAGTGAGGGAGATGGCCTCCCAAAGTGCTGAGATTACAGGTATGAGCCACCGTGCCTGGCTGAATATTATTTAAAACATCACTAAGCATCACTAAATTTAAAATACGAAAGTTGAAATATTAGTAGAGGGAGACTATTACACATGAAACATCTCAGAATATATTGCTAGTTTTCTAGACCACTTTGGTTTTTTCTCTGTTTCTGTTGAAATGAACACTCTCAGAAAGTCTCTGATTTCATTTTCTATACATATACCCTTTAAGACTCAGTATTAGAAAAGAAAAGGGCCAGGGGGAATAACCAGTCTATTATCCTAGTGTAATAGATGAGGAAACAGATTTTATGAGAGAATAAACGTTATCTAAAGTCACACAGCTAGTAAATGTCAAAGCCAAAACTGAAATGAGGTCTCTGGATTTCTACTTCAATAATTTCCCTGTTATTCCAAGCTGTTTGGGAATATAGGGGGGAAGAAACCTAAATTTAGTGGCAAAGAAATCTCATGAAAACCTTTTTAAGAAGTTTCTTTCTTTACCTGACATGGTCAGAGAAGAAGAAACATCAACTGCAGATAGAAGGGAAGAAGAGACGATACTAGCGGATGTCTGGGTGGCTGAAGCCAACCAGTGCATGTGTCCAGTATGAAGGCCACTGGTCACTGGTTACTGGTCACTGGCCCCTTGTGATGATACAAATTTACAGGCCACGCCCAGGAAACCCCAAGATGCTACCAGGTGGCGGTCGGTTTGGTGGGAGAATGATGTCACAAAGCAGGCAGTTTAAAGGTCTGCGATAGCCAATAGGGAGGTCAGATTCCCCACAAGACAGGATTGGCTGGCAGAGGTGGTAGGAAAGGTGTAACAGCACTAAGTGGCTGAGCTCTGGGGAGGTGAAATCTGCAAGACAGACATGATAGTCCCACTTTCCCCCAGGCTCTCATGTTAGGGAGATCATCTCAATGTTTCTCATAAATGTTCACTAATATAATTAACATTTATATTTTATATGTTACATTTCATAATATGTAATAGTATGCATTTATAATTATACAGTACATACACAATATCCTTGGGGAGAAAGGAAGGGGATGTCTAAGTTGAGCAATTACAGTTGTTCTAAAACTATTTCAGTGAATCTGATTAATGAATTTACTGCTGCTTTTTAATTTTATTGTATTTTTTGTGAGATGGAGTCTGGCTCTGTCACCCAGGCTGGAGTGCAGTGGCGTGATCTTGGCTCACTGCAAGCACCACCTCCCAGGTTCACGCTATTCTACTGCCTCAGCCTCCTGAGTAGCTGGGACTACAGGCGCCTGCCACTTCAGCCGGCTAATTTTTTGTATTTTTAGTAGGGACAGGGTTTCACCCTGTTAGCCAGGATGGTCTCGATCACCTGACCTCGTGATCCGCCCGCATCTGCCTCCCAGAGTGCTGGGATTACAGGCGGGAGCCACCGCGCCTGGCCCCACTGCCGCTTTTAATGGCCAGAGGAAGGGATTAAAGAACCCCCTTTCGTAACTTGAACAGCAAAGTTCGTTGACTGCCCCTTGTAGGAAATGATGTGGTCCAAGGCTCTTCTCTTTTAGTTTCTTCTCCTTGAATTCCACCTTCTTTGGGCTGGGCCAGGTTGGACTTGGATCTCTCTTCTGCTCTCCCTTTTTTAACCCCTTGATTTTAGGCATTGTTTCTGGGCCAAGCCTTGATCTTGCATTTTTACATTCGTGAATATTCCTTCTTGTCAACTTCCAGAGCAGGAGTCTTCTTTTCAGTGTCCCGATGTGTGGAAAACGGACTCTCCTCATGAGAAGCAAACAGCAGAGAGGTAGAAGACAAGGCTGACTGCAGACCTTCTCTCTTCTAGCCTTTGGTCACAATTCTTTTGCCCACAGTTTGCTACCTCTGGCTCCTTGGGCCACACAGACACCCTGCCATCCTGCTCTTTTATATGTGAGAGGCATTCTGGATACTTTCTTTCTTCTCACATAAGAGGATCCAGTGTGGCAGTTACTTATAGCCTCGTCTCCCTTGCAAACAGCCACTATAGAATCTTGGGCCTTTAGGATTTTCTGTCAGCCATGCTTGGGTGCAAGGGCCAGGCAAAATGAAGAGTTGAAGCATTTAGTGGAGAATAGGAAACAGGCAAGGTGAGGGTACAGGAAAAAAGAGATTTATGTGGATTTTTTGGTTTCTGTGACAAACAATTCAACATACCTATTTTGTATTAACAAAATAGACAATTCTTTTTTTTTTTTTTTTTGAGACAGAGTCTCTCTCTGTCACCCAGGCTGGAGGGCAGTGGCCGATCTCTGCTAGCTTCAAGCTCTGCCTCCCAGGTTCACACCATTCTCGTGCCTCAGCCTCCCGAGTAGCTGGGATTACAGGTACTCGCCACCATGCCCGGCTAATTTTTTGTATTTTTTTGTAGAGACGGGGTTTCACCGTGTCAGCCAGGATGGTCTCCTGACCTTGGGATCTGCCCACCTCAGCCTCCCAAAGTGCTGGGATTACAGGCGTGTGCCACTGCGCCTGGCCCAATATTTTTTATGTAGCTAGATAGTCCAGAACTTCCATGACTTCTGTACACTGAAGAAAATAATCATAATGTATTTTTTCCATTTTGTTTTATACCGTATTACCTCATTTATGTCATTCATTAGTATGTCTGTAGAATGTAAATTGCTTTTGTTTTATTAACTTTATTTTATTTATAAGAGTGAGACAGAATTTCACTCTTTTGCCCAGGCTGGAGTGCAGTGGCACGGTCTTGGCTCACTGCAACCTCTGCCTCCTTGGTCCAAGTGATTCTCCTGCCTCAGCCTCCCAAGTGGCTGGGATAACGGGTGCCGCCACTATCCCTGGCTAATTTTTGTATTTTTATTAAGGACAAGGTTTCACCATGTTGTCCAGGCTGGTCTCAAACTCCTGACCTCGGTTGATCTTCCTGCCTCAGCCTCGCAAAGTGCTGGGATTACAGGTGTGAGCCACCGTGCGTGGCCTGTAGATTGCTTTTAAATCCTCTGGTTTTTCTACATGTTTTTTCCTTGTCATATTTTTAAGGAATACAAGATTGTAAGACATACTGCATGTTTTTCTCATGATGGTTGTTTATTTTGAAACATCATGAACTATGGTGACCTGATGGGTTTTGTGGAGGAAATTAAAGAGGGGTCTGTGAAAAAGGCACTGTTGTGAGTTGTGCTGTGTGCCCAAGCATAAGGAACAGATGTCTGCAGTGAGCCCAAGTTGACTTGGATTGCCTTGGTTTTCATTTTCCTAGTTAGTGCTTTTCTCACTAACTTCTCTTGTAACTGTGATAAAATGAGTTAGGGCTGAGTTGCTAATGATTTACGTGTGGACTAAGCTGGTTTGGGGGAGGAAATCTATGGATATAATCATTTTCCTTGGTGGTAAGCTTTTAGAGATACCTGCATTGATCATTTGTTTGTTTATTTGTTTGTTTGTTTTTAGATGGAGTCTCGCTCTGTCGCCTAGGCTGGAGGGCAGTGGCACGATCTCGGCTCACTGCATCATGCGCCTCCCTGGTTCAAGCAATTCTGATGCCTGAGCCTCCCAAGTAGGAGGATTACAGGTGCACGCCACCACACCCAGCTAATTCTTATATTTTCAGGAGAAATGGGGTTTCACCATGTTGCCTAGGCTGGTCTCCAACTTCTGACCTCAGGCAATCCGCCTGCGTCAGCCTTGCAAAGTGCTGTGATTACAGGTGTGAGCCACCGCACCCTGCCTGGAAGCCTCATTTCTAAAACATATTTCTCTCTTTCTTTTTTTTTCTTTTTGAAGCGGAGTTTCCCTCTTATTGCCCAGGCTGGAGTGCAATGGCGCGATCTTGGCTCACCACAACCTTTGCCTCTCGGGTTCAAGTGATTGTCCTGCCTCAGCCTCCCAAGTAGCTGGGATTACACGCATGTGCCACCATGCCCGGCTAATTTGGTATTTTTAGTAGAGGTGGGGTTTCTCCTTGTTGGTCAGGCTTGTCTCACACTCCTGACCTCAGGTGATCAGCCCACCTCGGCCTCCCAAAGTGCTGGGATTACAGGTGTAAGCCACCGAGCCTGGCCTCTAAAACATATTTCCAAAATGTTTATATTACAAACTGTCAAGTGTCATCTATGTTCAAAAAGGCAACAGAAAAAAGTGACTGAATATGACTTCTGATAAGCTGCTTTTCCTAGGGATATGTAATGTAGCCTGTTTCCTTCCTCGTCCATTGATCTAAGCATTTGCTAAAATCAACTTCATTTTGCCCTACTCTGAATACATTTCACTCTGTTGTCCTTCTGCTTTTTTTTTTCAAATTTAAAATATATTTTTTTCTTTTAAAATCATTTTGTCATTCTCCAGGGCATATCCCAAGGGGAAAAGTAGGGGACCATGTCTTTCTGCTTAAATTAAAATACCAAATTACTTACCCTAGAATACCTGCCTCCTTAGAACCCAGTACTCTCCATTTTCTCTTTCCACCTAGTTTAGATAGGAATGTCCAAAACGTGAATACTACTTTTCTTTTTTGTTTGTTTGTTTGTTTGTTTGTTTGTGACAGGGTCTCACTTTGTCACCCAGGCTGAAGTCCAGTGGTATGAACATGGCTCACTGCAGTCTCAGCCTCCTGGGCTCAAGCAGTCCTCTGATCCTCCCACCTCAGCCTCCTGCGTAGCTGGCATACACCCAACCCTGGCTGAGTCTTAAAAAGTTTTTGTAGAGATGGGGTCTTGCCATGTTGCCCAGACTGGCCGGGAACTCCTAGGCCCAAAGCGATCCTCCCACCTCAGGCTCCCAAAGCATTGACATTGCAGGCATGAGCTACCACGCCCAACTGAATATTAAAAACATCACTACACATCAGTAAACATCACTAAATTTAAAATAGGAAAGTTGAAATATTAGTGAGGGAGATGGCCTCCCAAAGTGCTGAGATTACAGGTGTGAGCCACCGTGCCTGGCTGAATATTATTTAAAACATCACTAAACATCACTAAATTTAAAATACGAAAGTTGAAATATTAGTGGAGGGAGGCTATTACACATGAAACATCTCAGAATATATTGCTAGTTTTCTAGACCACTTTGGTTTTTTCTCTGTTTCTGTTGAAATGAACACTCTCAGAAAGTCTCTGATTTCATTTTCTATACGTATACCCTTTAAGACTCAGTATTAGAAAAGAAAAGGGCCAGGGGGAATAACCAGTCTATTATCCTAGTGTAATAGATGAGGAAACAGATTTTGTGAGAGAATAAAAGTTATCTAAAGTCACACAGCTAGTAAATGTCAAAGCCAAAACTGAAATGAGGTCTCTGGATTTCTACTTCAATACTTTCCCTGTTATTCCAAGCTGTTTGGGAATATAGGGGGAAAGAAATCTAAATTTAGTGGCAAAGAAATCTCATGAAAACCTTTTTAAAAAGTTTCTCTCTTTACCTGACATGGTCAGAGAAGAAGAAACATCAACTGCAGATAGAAGGGAAGAAGAGACGATACTAGCGGATGTCTGGGTGGCTGAAGCCAACCAGTGCATGTGTCCAGTATGAAGGCCACTGGTCACTGGTTACTGGTCACTGGCCCCTTGTGATGATACAAATTTACAGGCCACGCCCAGGAAACCCCAAGATGCTACCAGGTGGTGGTCGGTTTGGTGGGAGAATGATGTCACAAAGCAGGCAGTTTAAAGGTCTGCGATAGCCAATAGGGAGGTCAGATTCCCCACAAGACAGGATTGGCTGGCAGAGGTGGTAGGAAAGGTGTAACAGCACTAAGTGGCTGAGCTCTGGGGAGGTGAAATCTGCAAGACAGACATGATAGTCCCACTTTCCCCCAGGCTCTCATGTTAGGGAGATCATCTCAATGTTTCTCATAAATGTTCACTAATATAATTAACTAACATTTATATTTTATATGTTACATTTCATAATATGTAATAGTATGCATTTATAATTATATA
Source organism: Homo sapiens (assembly GCF_000001405.40). Classification (NCBI taxonomy): domain Eukaryota; kingdom Metazoa; phylum Chordata; class Mammalia; order Primates; family Hominidae; genus Homo; species Homo sapiens. The sequence goes on along the minus strand of NW_025791766.1, from coordinate 453,384 downwards.
GTACATACACAATATCCTTGGGGAGAAAGGAAAGGGATGTTTAAGTTGAGCAATTACAGTTGTTCTAAAACTATTTCAGTGAATCTGATTAATGAATTTACTGCTGCTTTTTAATTTTATTGTATTTTTTGTGAGATGGAGTCTGGCTCTGTCGCCCAGGCTGGAGTGCAGTGGCGTGACCTCGGCTCACTGCAAGCTCCACCTCCCAGGTTCATGCCATTCTCCTGACTCAGCCTCCTGAGTCCTGCCACTTCGCCTGGCTAATTTTTTGTATTTTTGGTAGAGACGGGGTTTCACCCTGTTAGCCAGGATGATCTCGATCACCTGACCTCGTGATCGGTCTTCCCCTGCCTCCCAAAGTGCTGGGATTACAGGCGGGAGCCACGGCGCCCGGCCCTGCTGCCGCTTTTAAGGGCCAAAGAAGGGATTAAAGAGCCTTCTTTTGTAACTTGGTTGAACGGCAAAGTTCGTTGACTGCCCATTGTAGGAAAGGATGTGGTCCAAGGCTCTTCTCTTTTAGTTTCTTCTCCTTGAATCCTACCTTCTTTGGGCTGGGCCAGGTTGGACTTGGATCTCTCTTCTGCTCTCCTTTTTTTAACCCCTTGATTTTAGGCATCGTTTCTGGGCCAAGCCTTGATCTTGCATTTTTACATTTGTGGATATTCCTTCTTGTCAACTTCCAGAGCAGGAGTCTTCTTTTCAGTGTCCGGATGTTTGGAATACGGACTCTGCTTATGAGAAGCAAACACCAGAGAGGTAGAAGACAAGGCTGACTGCAGACCTTCCCTCTTCTAGCCTTTGGTCACATTTCTTTTGCCCATGGTTTGCTACCTCTGGCTCCTTGGGCCACACAGACACCCTGCCATCCTGCTCTTTTATACGTGAGAAGCATTCAGGATACTTTCTTTCTTCTCACATAAGGGGATCCAGTATGGCAGTTACTTTTAGCCTCCTCTCTCTTGCAAACAGCCACTATAGAATCTTGGGCCTTTGGGATATCCTGTCAGCCATGCTTGGGTGCAAGGGCTAGGCAAAATGAAGAATTTAAGCATTTAGTGGAGAATAGGAAACAGGCAAGTTGAGGGTACAGGGAAAAAGAGATTTGTGTGGATTTTTTGGTTTATGTGACAAACAATTCGACACACTTATTTTGTATTAATAGAACATAGAATTTAATATTTTTTATGTAGCTAGTCCAGAACTTCCATTACTTCTGTACACTGAAGAAAATAATCATAATATTCTTTTTCCATTATGTTTTATGTCATATTACCTCATTTATGTTATTCATTAGTATGTCTGGTTACTTTCTAGGAACCCTATTCCGCCTAGGTCTGGATTTTCTTGTGTCAACTATAACTGAGTTTGTTCTCACCCCAATGTTGTGTCTTTTAGCAAATTGAAAGTGTAAGCCCAATACAGCTTTTCTAGCTTCTGAAAGATTTATGTCACGTTTTGTATCTTGTCATGTCTATAGACATTTGTAACATTTGTAGTTTTGGGCTACTATACACCTATTGGAATTTTTCATGCATTTCAGAAAAACATTGTATTATTTATTTATTTATTTCGTGATACAGAGTCTCGCTCTGTTGCCCAGGCTGGAGTGCAATGGCACAATCTTGGCTCACTGCAACCTCCGCCTCCCATGTTCAAGCCATTCTCCTGCCTCAGCCTCCCAAGTACCCTGGACTACAGGTATGAGCCACCACGCCCAGCTAATTTCTGTATTTTTAGTAGAGATAGGATTTTACCATGTTGGCCAGGTTGATCTCTAACTCCTGACCTCAAGTGACCTGCCCGCCTCGGCCTCCCAAAGTGCTGGAATTACAGGCATGAGCCACCATGCCCGGCCACAATATTTTACAATTTAATGTCAAATTTGAATGTGGGCTGGGCGCAGGGGCTCACGCCTGTCATCCCAGCACTTTGGGAGGCCGAAGAGAGCAGATGACTTGAGGTCAGGAGTTCAAGACCAGCCTGGCCAACTTGGTGAAACCTTGTCTTTACTAAAAATACAAAAATTAGCCGGGCATGGTGGCACACGCCTGTAGTCGCAGCTACTCAAGAGGCTGAGGCAGGAGAATTGCTTGAACCCAGGAGGCAGAGGTTGCAGTGAGCTGAGATCGCGCCACTGCACTCTAGCCTGGGTGACAGAGAGAGACTCCATCTCAACAACAACAACAACAAATAATTAAATGTTCCTAATTGTAGGTTTGTTATGTTCTGCTATCCTGTCTTTTTCTTTTTCCAATGAACAATTTATGAATATTGACACATTTTTAATGATGTGGAAATTTTCAGAATTGTAAATGTTTATGTATTTAAAACTGGTTGGAAAAGTACTGTCTCAAAAATGTTAATAAAGCTAGCAGTCTAGCTTTATTAATATTCATTTATTCAATAGCTCTGACCTTTCTTATCCTTGGTTTACCCAGCTCTGAAATGGTTGCAAAGATTACTAAAAATATATGTAAGTTACTTTCATAAATTAGAAACTAAGAAGTAAAAATTACTTTCAAAAATCTGCCATTGGCCAGGTGCGGTGGCTCAAGCCTGTAATCCCAGCACTTTCGGAGGTCGAGGAGTGCTGATCATGAGGTCAAGACATCGAGACCATCCTGGCCAACATGGAGAAACCCTGTCTCTACTAAAATACAAAAAATTGGCTGGGAGTCGTGGCATGCACCTGTAGTCCCAGCTACTCAGGAGGTTGAGGCAGGGAGAATTGCTTGAACCCGGGAGGCGGAGGTTGCAGTGAGCTGAGATGGCACCACTGCACTCCAGCCTGGTGGCAGAGTGAGACTGGGTCTCAAAAAAAAAAAAAAAAAGTCTGCAATCATAATTACTTACAGTTTAATCTGGAATTTAGTACTCTATTCTATTTTCAAAGCTGCTATAGGGTATGCTGTCCTTTGTAGTTCCACTTTTAGCAGAATTGAACGTTTTTCTAACGGGTACAGATCTTTATGCTTGAGACTGTGTGGAAACCTTGGACTTGAGCTCCACTCTCAGTTATTTTTTGTATTTGCTAAAACTTAAATACATTCTGTCCACCTCTAGCATGATACCTGGTATGTGATAGGAACCCAATAAAAGTTTGGCTTTGATGGGAGTGTATGTTTCTACATTATTTTTGGAGGGTAATTAGGTAGTATCTTTCCAAATTTTAAGTTTGTATGTGTTTCATTCCAGACATTCTACTTCTAGGAATTTAGATATAGTTGTATATATGTATAAGGATGTTCACATTGCAGCATTGTCTGTAACAAGATTTGAAAAGAACCTGAAAACAACTAAAGGTCCATTAATATTGAACTGGCTAAATACGTTATGGTACTTTTAATTATGTTACTCATAAGCAAGTAAATTGCCTATAGCCATTAAAAATAGAATCTATGTATGCATAAATTGACTGGGATAATCAGTGTTTAAGGTATACTGTAGAATATGTACAGTTACTCCTTTTGTATAAAAATAGAGGATATACATATATGTGAAAGTAAATATGTATACAAAATATGCAAAATGTGAATGTAAGCGCTGGTAAATATCTAGAAGAACACACAAGGAACCGGGGCGTGGGGCGGATCGGGCAGAGGGACTTCCCTGTGCCTCACTGTTTGAATTCTGAAGGGTGCATACACGCCCTTATTGACCTGTGCTACTGGCCTCTGGCTAAAGAGGGCGCTGTAGCCACCAAAGTCCTGTTTACAGATCAGGAGTCTCAGTAAGCCAGCGTGGCTACGCCATCACGACCGGCGGTGGCACATGCGCAATAGCGAGACGCTGGAGCGCGGCGTAGGTGGCTGCCGAGTCTTTTCCTGTTTAGGGTCTTATCCTGGCATTGAGGGCGCCGGACTGGCGCTTTTGGCCGACTTGGCATTGGGTGGGCGGCTTCTTGGGACCCACATGAGCCAGTGGCATCATCCCCGCAGTGGCTGGGGCCGGAGACGCGACTTTTCAGGACGCTCCTCAGCCAAGAAGAAGGGCGGAAACCACATCCCCGAAAGGTAGTATGTCTTGGTCCCTTGGCGTGGCCTTTCCAGCTCGTGGCTTCTGGGTCTGGGCTTCATCGTTTGTGGTCTCTGCCTCTCGCCGTTGCCATCGCAAGCTTGACTTGTCCGCCGCTTGCTTTGAGGCTTTGACCCTCTGCGCCACCCGCTGTAGCTGAAAGGGGCGATGTCTGTGATGTCCTGTGATTTCTCCATATTCTTGTAAAAGGGAGGTTCTGGCCATTGCTCTTAGGTAAAATACGGAAGGATTGCTTTAAGGTGGGACTGTTACTGTTGGGGACACTCCTTAATTCCCAAAATGGAACCTCCTCAATTCCTTGTTACGTTGGCACGGAAAGTGTAATGGTTTGAGTTAGGAACCCAGCAGTAGTAGCGCCCTGAGATCTCACATGGAAAGTTGGTTTGTATTGTTTCCAGAAATCACAAAGAGCATACTTTGTTACTTCCTAACAGGCCTCATTTGAAAGATAACTCCTTTATACGTACAAATGATTAATTTTGAGACTTTGCACGTAGGTGCATTGAACTGTTTTTACTCCTTGAGACCATCCTCCACCATCTCATACCTCAATAAATCCTCTTCATTTTATCTACTATCTTTTGACTGTCACTTTCTGTCAGTACCCTAATACAGGTCTTGCCTGACTTATTGCAGTGGGGTTCTAATTAGTGAATCTCCTGTTTGTTTTCTTCCAATCCGTTTTTTTGTTTTTGTTTTTGGGATGGATTTTTGCTCTTCTCCGCCAGGCTGGAGTGCAATGGTCCAATCTCGGCTCACTGCAACCTCCGCCTCCCGGATTCAAGCGATTCTCCTCCCTCAGCCGCCCAAGTTGCTGGGATTACAGGCGCCCGCCACCACACCCGGCTAATTTTTTTTGTATTTTTAGTAGAGATGGGGTTTCACCATGTGGGTCAGGCTGGTCTCGAACTCCTGACCTCAGGTGATCCACCTGCCTCAGCCTCCCAAATTGCCGGGATTAACAGACGTGAGCCACCGCGCCCGGCCAGTTCCTAGCATTATTAAGTGAAGTTCACAGTCCCTCTTCTAGCAGGTTTTCTCTTAAAATATGAACTTGAAGTTTCCTACTAATTGAACTTTATGGCATCAGTCGTATGAAAACTAAAAGCGTGAAGTGAAATAATTGAATTTAAATTATTTCAGTGAATATGTTTGTATTAATGGCACTTTAGTATCTGGTACTGGGCCAAGTTTAACAGGGATACAGAAGTTCTGGGTATCTCCGGTTTTATATAGGCCTTATTTGAGTTGTACTGTTGTGTTGGCTTGTGTTCGTTTTTATGATGGGGAAACAGGAGAGAAGGACGGTATAGGTCGTTACTTGGTGGGGTTTAATAAGTGGAGTGGCGAAATGCAAAGCAGAGAGGAGAGAGGACATGTTGTGCGGGCTATGATTCCCATTTTCAAAAAGTCTTATTTTGTGCAAGGAAACAAGGCTAACATACAATTTGGCTAACAAAAAATATATCTAATAGGTGGAAAGACTATCTCCCAGTTGGACAGCGGATGCCTGGGACTCGTTTCATTGCTTTCAAAGTTCCTTTGCAAAAGGTAAGCAAAAGTTAATTCAGTATTCTTTCAGGCATCTGAGTTCACCATGCAGAACACTGCTCTCCACTCTATCACATTCCATTTTCTCTTTTTATAGCAAATACTTTGTAATGACCCCTTTACTATCCTGAAATGAAGTTCATAGGTACATACAACCTACTTCATATTTTAAACAAAAATACCAATTAACACCCTAACTATAATATAAAAAATAAAATAAAAGTAATTTATAATAAAATAATATTTATTTCAATATATAAATGTTTGGACATGACTACATTAAAAGACATAGAGTAATAGTTGCCTGCGCCATGAATTCAAGAATTACAAATGTAGACTGATCTAGGTGGGTTGTATTGCTTTAGTGGTAGGAGTTTCTGTAATAGATTTCCAAATATAACAAAGTATAATCTTCATTTGGTTGATAAGGTGATTATTATCCTGGAAAATTCAATATATATTAGTATTGTACAAAAAATACTTTGTGTTTATTTGTGAAATGGAGTTAGGTTCTGAGGCCAAGCTAAATATGAACAGCTTTTTATCTATATTAATCTTGAATAGGACATCCAAAAGCCATTCAGGATGTGGGACACATTTGTAGGACTGTCCTGAATTTGGCAAGTTGTTTAGAATTTGTAACCCTTACCCACTGAATGCCAGTGGGACTCCTTTCCTTCCATGGTCACAATCAGAAATATCCCCCGGATCATCAAGGTCAGGATTTCAGTGGGGAAAATCTGAAGATTGTATTTTTGTTTAAACTAGGAAAGGAATAGGAGGGATAGGAGGGGAAAGCTTTTGACAGCCATAAAAAAGATGAGAAGGTGAAGACAAATAATTGTTTTCTAGATTCCATGTCTTTCTTATTAGACTTCCCCAGCATAGCTCAGATTAGTATCAGGAGAAGCCTACTTGAAACGTTTTGGGAATTTACTTAATTTGTGACTTATAGATCAGATTTCCTTTTTCAACTGCTGTGTCAGCTTCTCTGCATGTCTGGGCTTAAAAATGAGTCATTTCAGGCCAGGCCTGTTGGATCATGTTTGTAATCCAGTACTTTGGGAGGCAAGGTGGGTGTATCGCTTGAGTCCAGGAGTTTTAGACCAGCCTGGGCAACACTGAAACCGTGTCTCTACAAAAAATACAAAAATTAACCAGGCGCGGTGGCGTGTGCTTGTAGTCTCAGCTGCTCAGGAGGCTGAAGTGGGAGGATCGATTGAACCCAGGAGGTCAAGGCTGCAGTGAGCCATGATCATGCCACTGTACTCCAGCCTGGGCAACAGAGCAAGACCCTGTCTCCAAAAAGAAGGTGTTGGAGACACAGGGAATTTTTAGGGAAGTGAAACTATTCTGTGTGATACTCTAAGGGTGGATACATGTTATATATTGATCAAAACCTATAAAAGGGCTTCACGTATATTAACACATTTCACAACAATCCTGTGCTGATGAAGTAGCAGTAGTACTAATATCTCTTACTGAGTGCTTATTCTGCACTAAGCTCAGAGAATAGATGGTTACATCTAATAAATAATTTTGTAGATAATCAAACAGGCTCAGAAAAGGAAGAATCAAAACTTGAACTTAGTTCTTTCTCTCATTTTTTTTGTGGCAAAATATATATAACATAATATGTACATACAATGCATAACATAGAATGAATCACGCATACCTAACCTCTAGACTTTGGTGATAACGATGTGTCAGAGTTGGTTCTTCATTTGTAACAAATGGACCACACTGGTATGGAATGTGGATAGTGGGGGAGTCTGGGTGGGTTGGGGAAGGCAAAGTACATGTGGGAACTATCTGTCCTTTTGGCTCAGTTTTGCTGTGAACCTAAAACTGCTCTGAAAACTAGTCTATTTTTTTTTTTTTTTTTTTGAGATGGTGTCTCGCTTGTCGCCCAGGCTGGAGTGCAGTGGTGTGATCTTGGTTCACTGCAAGCTCTGCCTCCTGGGTTCACGCCATTCTCCTGCCTCTGCCTCCTGAGTAGCTGGAACTACCGGCGCCTGCCACCACGCCTGGCTAATTTTTTTGTGTTTTTAGTAGAGATGGGGTTTCACCGTGTTAGCCAGGATGGTCTCGATCTCCTGACCTCGTGATCCTCCTGCCTCGGCCTCCCAAAGTGCTGGGATTACAGGCTTGAGCCACCGCACCCAGCCAAACTAGTCTATTTTTTAAAAAGTACATTGCTGGCACCTGAGTAGCCAGACAGATTGAAGGAACAGAGCATAAAGTTCAAAAATAAGCCACATACATAAAAGAATATTCAGCAATGAAAGCCATCCTTCATATATGTAGACATGTGAGAAATATTTATTTGTGAGGCCGAGACAGGAGGGTTGCTTGAGCTCAGGAGTTTGAGATCAGCCTGGGCTACATGGCAAGACGGCAAGACCCTATCTCTTTTTTTTTTTTTTTTTTTTTTTTAAATTTTTTTTTTGAGATGGAGTCACTCTGTCACCCAGGCTGGAGTGCAGTGGTGTGATCTCGGCTCACTGCAAGCTCTGCCTCCCGGGTTCACGCCATTCTCCTGCCTCAGCCTCCCGGTAGCTGGGACTACAGGCGCCTGCCACCACCCCTGGCTAATTTTTTGTATTTTTAGTAGAGACGGGGTTTCACAGTGTTAGCCAGGATGGTCTCGATCTCCTGACCTTGTGATCCTCCCGCCTTGGCCTCCCAAAGTGCTGGGATTACAGGTGTGAACCACTGCGCCCAGCTGACCCTATCTCTTTAAAAAAAAAAAAAAAAGGCCAGGTGTGGTGGTTCATGCCTGTAGTCCCAGCTACTTGTGAGGTTGAGGTGGGAGTATTGCTTGAGCCCAGGAGGTGGAGGCTGCAGTGAGCCATGTTTGTGTCACTGCACTCCAGCCTGGATGACGGATGACAGAGCAACACCCTGTTTCAAAAAAAAAAAAAAAAAAAGAAAAGAAATATTTATAAGCACTAAATATGATAAGCACTCCACCTGGAGCTGGAGATACAGTGGTGAATAAAATCTGGGAGATTACAGTCTGATTAGGAGACCAACATGAAACAAATACAGAAATACATATATAGAAGTGGGCTTATTTTTTTCTTTCTGACCACTCTGGAAGAAAGGATTGTTGTAATATACCTTCTATGTTCCAGGAGAATGGAAACTTTCCTTTGAATCTCGTTGTATGTTAGCATCACAGGACTTGAATAAATGCCTAATGTAGTACAGGATTTTAAGCACATATTTGCTCTTATTTCATTCTCTGTGACAGAGTTTTGAAAAGAAACTTGCTCCAGAAGAATGCTTTTCCCCTTTGGATCTTTTTAACAAAATCCGAGAACAAAATGAAGAACTTGGACTGATTATTGATTTAACATATACTCAACGCTATTATAAACCAGAGGTAAGTGGAACCCTTCAATGAAAAGAACTTTCTTCCTTCTGATCCTAAAATAATTTATAGTAATTCAGTAATCATCTTGTGCTAATGTGAAGCTTGGCCTTCTTTGATGGGTAGTAAGTTTAAAAGAGAACCAAGTGATTTCTCTAATTACATGTTTTTAATTGCTGTCTTAAATGGAATATTATTCAGCCATAAAAAAGAATAGATTTAATACGTGCTACAATATGGATGAACCTTAAAAACATGCTTAGTGAAATAAACCAGACACAGAAGGACAAATATATGATTCCACTTGTATGAAGTACCTAGAATAGACAAATTCACAGAGACAGAAAGCAGACTAAAGGATCTATGAGGTGGGGAGAAAAGGGAATTATGGTTTAGTGGTCAGAGTCTTTTTGTCGGGGATGATGAAAAAGTTTTGGGTATAGACAGTGGTGATGGTTACACAATACTGTGAATGTAATGCCACTGAACTATACACTTGTGGATGGTTAAAATGATTTTGACTTAGCCTCTTCTGTCTTTTATCTGTATCTACTTTTCTCCCACCCCAAGAATATCGGTTCTCAATAGTGCCTGGAATTCCCTCTATCTCACAATTCAAATCCAAGTTCTTCTGACTCTATTCTCTACTCTTCTACTTAAATCATAGCTGCTTTATGAAGGCACTGGCCCTTGAATTATAAAATATTAAATGGAACTGTTTATATAATTTATAGTTAAATATGCATTCATTCACATGGAATTTGCTTTCAGTTTTGTATACCTAGTGACTATCTATTATGTAGTTTTATTGAAAATCAAGTGATACTTCCTGGTTGAAGCAGTGTTGGAAAAAATGGCTCTTTTATCAGAATTGTGTATACTGATATTGGCATATTAAGTTTGTTATAATCTCTTGGCTTATATTCTGGGTCCCCTAATTACTCTTTAATTATTTCTCTACAAGTGAAATAATACACATCTTTTATGGTTTTGCTTTATAGGATTTGCCAGAAACTGTTCCTTACTTAAAAATTTTTACAGTTGGACATCAAGTGCCTGATGATGAGACTATTTTTAAATTCAAACACGCTGTTAATGGGTTTTTGAAAGAAAATAAAGATAATGGTGAGTTTTTGTTCTTACCTGAACTGTGGTGTGCATTATGAATGGGGTTGGGGATTTTTGGTATTTTTTTATAGTTCCAACCTCAGACCTGTTGTATTTAATGATGCTAAGGTGATGAAAATGTCAGATGGTGCTAATAGGGTAAGATGTTTTTCCTTTTGTTGATCACAAATAATTTAACTTTGGAATGTTAAATTAGTTTTAGTGCAAAATATGAACTGAACTGGCTCATCTTTCTTTTTTAATTTGAATGAGAAATATATAAAATTAAAATGTTATTTTTGTCTTCTATATTGGTTAAGAAGTGAGAAGTAGAAGAAAAGATTAAAAAACTCTGAGTCTTAGAGTTATGTGAAAGAGACAAGAAAGGGCAAAGATTAAGAATGGGACGGACCCCTAGAAGCAAAACAAGAAAGAGTGCACCAGTGGAATTGCCCCTTTGTCATATGTATTTAAGACACATGTATACATATGTAACAAACCTGCACGTTGTGCACATGTACCCTAAAACTTAAAGTATAATTAAAAAAAAGATATTTCTGCTGTTTTTCCGCTTTGAGTACAGATGGGGAAGGATACCACCACCTCTTATTCTTCACATGGGAGAACTTAAGCCAAAGGCTGGTGCTTTCTTGTTCCTGCTTTAAGATTTACCTTACTCTTTTGAAAATAGAACTTAACAGCTTCTTTATCTTAAGGATCCAGTTGCCTTTTTCTGGCATCTCTCTGCCAGAAAGAACATGATATTTGTCATATTTTAAGACTGAAGAAGCTTTTATCTTTGGAAAGCCACTGACACCCACAGGACAGAGGCTTCATTTGCCTTCTTTCCAAATTTAGCTTGAGGAGTGTACACTTTGTTACATAAATCTGACAGTAAATACTCCTTTTTAAAAAATGTGATGGAGTAGTGGAGAAAGAATAGAGACAGAGGTGGGAAGATAGGGAATGGAAGGTGAGAGATAGAGACTGGATCAGTGGGTTTGAAGATAAAATTTCAAATTGTAACCTAGTCGCTCACTTAATGTGGACACTAGCTTTTAATTATGTTAAACCTTGTTCACAGATCTTCCCCTGTACTTTAACTTTAAAACTTGAGAGGTTTGGCTTTCCCATTTGTATAAGCTGTTGTCACAGAAATACTACCTTTTAAGATATGAGGGTACAGCTGATGGCCTATTCACTGCTTCCAGGCTCTTTTCTGTGAAATTTTTATATAGCACTTCATCTGTTCTGTGAGGGCTAGGAGGTCCTTATGAATACATGAGAACACATTTTTAAATCTTAGTTGTTCACGTTATACTGATTGTAGTCAGTTGGATAGACTGAACTCCATGTTGGTCTTCTGCCTGAGTGGTGCTGACTGTCTAAGTCTTGCAGTACTCACTGCCATAGCAGGCTTGGGACCTTGTTTATAATCAGTTTTGGCTACCTCTGCTATAATCCCTTCCCACAGATAACAGGCTCACTGATAAAAAGAGGACACTACACTCTCCACTCGCTTCTAGAACTAGTAGGGACTGAGAAAATAAATTGATTCAGTAAACACTGAGATCCTTTTAGATTTGTTGTTAGAGCATGAAGACACAGAGATGATAGCAGTCTTTGTTTTTTGTTATAGCAGTTCACAGTTATCTAGGAAAATAAATATGTAGTGCATGTGGTTTAAGATGTGGGTTAGGCTGGGCGCGGTGGCTCATGCCTGTAATCCCAGCACTTTGGGAGGCCGAGGTGGGCGGATCACGAGGTCAGGAGATCGAGACCATCCTGGCTAACACGGTGAAACCCCATCTCTACTAAAAATACAAAAAATTAGCCAGGCGTGGTGGCAGGCATCTGTAGTCCAAGCTACTCGGGGGGCTGAGGCAGGAGAATGGCGTGAACCCGGGAGGCGGAGCTTTCAGTGAGCGGAGATGGCGCCACTGCACTCCAGCCTGGGGGACAGAGCAAGACCCTGTCTCAAAAAAAAAAAGATGTGGGTTAATTATAGAACAAAAAAGCCGGGCGCGATGGCTCATGCCTGTAATCCCGGCACTTTAGGAGGCCGAGGTGGGCAGATCATGAGGTCAGGAGATCGAGACCATCCTGACTAACATGGTGAAACCCCATCTCTACTAAAAATACAAAAAAAAAAAAAAATAACCCAGGCATGGTGGCGGGCGCCTGTAGTCCCAGCTACTCGGGAGGCTGAGGCAGGGGAATGGCGTGAACCTGGGAGGCGGAACTTGCAGTGAGCCGAGATTGCGCCACTGCACTCCAGCCTGGGCGACAGAGCGAGACTCCATCTCAAAAAAAAAAAGAACAAAAAAGACAGTTCATCATAATAAAAGAATAAATTAAGTGCAGTGAGAATATAGAGGAGAGATTGAGGAAGGCCTGACAGGAGACAACATTCGAGCTGCAGGGATGAGAATTTTGCCAGTATGAGAAAAGGGCAGCCCAGTTTTGGGGATTAGGCACAAAAGGCACAGGGCCTAAAGCCATGGAGAGGCAGCCTCTTGTGTGACTAGAAGATAATGTGAAAAGGCATGGAATTCATATGTTCATTTGCAACAAATAATTATATAACCTATGTTGAAGTCACTTTTCTAGAAAGTGGAAATAGAACAAAGTCCTTGCCCTTATATACTTTACATTCTAGTCGGGGAGAGAAATAAGCAAATAAATACATGGAATATATATGGTGATAAGTGCTTTGGAGAATAACAAAACATGATAAAGGGATGAGGGAAGAGGTGAGTGATCAGGAAGGCCTCTTTATGAAGATGTCATTTGAGCAGAACCTTAAAGGAAGTAATGAACCAAGCCATTGGGTGTCTGGGGAGGAATGTCCTAAGGCAGAGGGAACAGCAGGTGCAAAGTCCCTGAGGCATGACTATGCTAGGCATGTTTGAGGAATGTTACAGAGCCGAGTGTGGCTGGAGTGGAGTGAGTGAGGGTAAGAGCAGGAGAAACGGGATCAGAGAGGTTGGGGCTGGGCAGAAGGGAGGTGGATCATATCAGCCCTTGTAAATCATAGTTAGGATCATTGTGGACTTAGATCGGTTGGAAAGACAGATTGATACCAGTTTATGAAGGATTCTAAATGCCATGCTAAATTTGGGCTTCATGCTATGCTAAATTGAGATTTTTAAGCAAAAACAACCCAGCCAGGCTTATGTTTTAGAAAGATAACATCTGCCATATGGAGGATCAGTTGAGATAGAAGTAGGGAGATTAGTTTGTTGTAGTAATCCAGGCTGGCGATGATGAGTGCCTTCTTTTTTCTTTCTTTTTTTTTTTTTTGAGATGGAGTCTCACTCTGTCGCCAAAGCTGGAGCGCAGTGGCACCATTTTGGCACACTGCAACCTCCGTCTCCTGGGTTCAAGCAATTCTGCTGCCTCAGCCTCCCGAGTAGCTGGGATTACAGGCACCCACCACCACACCTGGCTAGTTTTTGTATTTTTAGTAGAGATGGGGTTTCACCATATTGGCCAGGCTGGTCTCGAACTCCTGACCTCAGATGATCCACCCACCTCCGCCTCCCAAAGGGCTGGGATTACAGGCGTGAGCCACCATGCCCGGCAGAGTGCCTTCTTTTTTTCTTTTCTTTCTTTCTTTTTTTTTTTTTTGAGTAGCTGGGATTATAGGCTCCCGCCACAATACCCAGCTAATTTTTTGTACTTTTAGTAGAGACGTGGTTTCGCCATGTTGGCCAGGTTGGAAAGTGCTGGGATTACAGGCGTGAGCCACCACACCTGGCTGATGAGTGCCTTCTTTACCAGACACTACCTAGTCATGGACACAGATTTTGCAAAGATAAACTACACTTTTTTTTATTTAATTCCTCATGTAATTTTTTAAAAAGATGGACTAAGAAATACTGTGGTGTAATGGGAAAAATCTTAGACTTGATTCTAGTCTTGTACTATTTGCCTGCTTTGACTTACATCTCCAAGCCTTGCCTTTTCATTGTAAAATGTGAATAGTGCTATTTACCTGAGTACTTCACAGGGCAGGTAGACCTGTGGTATGTGTGGAGCACCGAACAAGAGAAGGAATAGAAGCTCTTCGGGAACTCAAGAGTACTATGGAAACTGTCCTTAATATTCAGTATCAAGAGTGAAGGCCTTTTATTTGTTTGATTCAGAAACAAATTTCATTCTTCTCTTAGCCTGTTGTTGCTTTCACTCCCTTTTTGTATAATTAAATCAGTTGCTGATGGGCATTCTGTTTTAAGATAGACGGGTTTGTCTCATTGCAGTTTTAGCTGTTAGTGTCTGACCAGGCTTGCAGTTTACATCACTGAGTCTAATTGGGACTATGCAAAGTTTCCCAGAAGCAGTGAGTTTTGGCTTTCTGTTAGATGATTCTTTATAGTATGTTCCTAGAAAAAACAATTCCTCTTAAGAGTTATTCATTTTCAGGGCAGTGATAATGTTATATACTTGTGTATCTACTTCAGTTACTTAACCCTGTATTTTCTTTTTATAGATAAACTTATTGGTGTCCACTGTACCCATGGTTTAAACAGGACTGGCTACCTCATTTGCAGGTAAGTTGCCAACCCCAGAGGCAGACCATTTTAAATTGTTTTTGTCTGTTTACAATGGTAATGTAAGGTTGTAAAAAATGGAACTGGTATAGAAATACATGAAGTAGAAGGCAGTCTTGCTCCCCACCCAGAGATTACCACCATTAATAATTTAGTACACATCTTTTCAGACTCTAAAAATGCAGATACAAGCATACATGTTATTGAATGGTATAATAGTTAGACATTCTGTTTTTTAATTTAATATGTGATAGACATCTTTCTTTGAAAATACTTGGACTCCTTATTCTTTTTTTTTTTTTTTTTATTGAGACGGAGTCTTGCTCTGTCACCCAGGCTGGAGTGCAGTGGCACCATCTCGACTCACTCCAAGTTCTGCTTCCCAGGTTCACGCCGTTCTCCTGCCTCAGCCTCCCAAGTAGCTGGGACTACAGGTGCCCGCCACCACGCCCGGCTAATTTTTTGTATTTTTAGTAGAGATGTGGTTTCACCGTGTTAGCCAGGATGGTCTTGATCTCCTGACCTTGTGATCCACCCGCCTCGGCCTCCCAAAGTGCTGGTATTACAGGAGTGAGCCACCGCGCCTGGCCAGACTCCTTATTCTTTTTAAGGCCTGCGTTGTTCTTTGCACACCGATGAACACAAAAGTCAGAAGTTTTTGATATTATAAAACATTGAAGTAGTGAACATTTCTATGTAAATATTTTTGAATGCATATCTCATAGCCCCGGAGGTAATTTCACTCAAAATAGAATTTCTTAATCAAATAGTATGTGTCGTTATGCTTTTTATGGATGTTGCCACACTGTACTGAGTTATGTTTGTTCATTCAGAAAATATCTCCTGAGCATCTATTATGTGTAAGCAGTGTGCTGCGTGTTAGCAAAGAGACTTTAGCTGCCCTTTGTGCGTCCTAACAGTCTAGGGAGGGAGTAGATATTAAAGAATCACACAAATGCCTATACAATTACAATTCCAACAAGTGCTGAGAAGGGGAGTGACATGGTACAATGAGAGCATAGAATAGGGAGGATTTGACTTCAACAAGAGGACTAGAGGTTTCTGTGGGGAGGTCTGAGCAAATATCTGAAGTATAAGTAGGTGTTAACCAGGTAGGGATGTTGTGGAGAGAATTCTGAACGTAAGGATCAGCAGAGACCATATTAACAGGAAAATATATACTGTGTTGGAGGAACTGGCTAGGGAGACTGGGCCATGGGGGTAGTATGGCGTTAAAATGGAGCTGGAAATATGAATAGGAGCTGAAACCATGCAGAGCTATGTTTAAGGTTTTAGTCACTACCTTAAGAGCAATAGAAAACCATTGAATTTTTTTTGTTGGGGATGAGTGTGGGGAACACATTCAAATTTGTATTTTCAACCTATCATTTTGCTGCTGAGTGGAGAATACACTGCAGAGGGAAAGAGGTAGAAGCAAGGAGACAAGTTGGGAGGTGTTTGTAGGAACTGAGGCATAATGGTGGATTGGACCAGGGCATGGTGGTCATTTTGGTAGAAAGATACAGATATACTCTATAGAGATATTTAGGTAATATTGTTGTCAGGAGTTGGTGGTGAATTGAATATGAGAGTTTGGAAGAAATGGCTGACAGTGATGGTGACTCCCAAGTTTCTGGCCCATTCTGTTGGTTATACAGTATTTTTTAGATATAATGTTAATATTTTTCCCAATTTGTCTTTTGTTCATTGTTGGTTTCTGATAAATACTCTGTCATATTAAGGAAGTCTCTATTTTTAGTGTATAAAGCATTTTGATAAAAAATGATTCTGCATTTTCTTTCCTTTTGTTTATTAAATTACATTAATGTAAATAAATATATAAATAGATTTTCTGGAGTTGGGTCATCCTTGCATTCTTGAAAAACGTCTTTTTGTGGTCATGGTATGTCATTCTTTAATAACTGCTGGATTTGATGTGCTGATATTTTCTTAGGATTTTTATATCTATGTCTATAAGTTGAAATTGGACCTTTTTTGAAAAAACTTGATTTTTTTCTTTTCGTATATAAATGACCCAAATTATGTTGTTTTGTTAGATATTTGATTGATGTAGAAGGCGTGAGGCCAGATGATGCAATTGAATGTAAGTATGAGGGTTGACACTATTTTTCCCTTTTATTAAAGTTAAAGGTGGAAATGTAGAAGAATTTATCAAATTTTGGAAAAAAAGAAGTTTGTAATTCGTTTGTTCCAATATAAGATAGTCTTGCCAAAAGTCTATAGATGTATGTGGAAGTAGTGAGATATAACAGCTTGAATAGTGAATTTCAGCTTAATTTGCTTTTTCTGGAAAGATCTGCTTTTTGTACAGTTATTTCTAACAGTTTATCCTCTCCTCAGTATTCAATAGGTGCCGGGGACATTGCTTAGAAAGACAAAACTACATTGAAGACCTTCAGAATGGTCCTATCAGAAAGTAAGTCTTATGTTATATATGTGAGATTTGTGGGTCAGGGAGATCTCTGTTTATGTAATTTAAGTTGCATATGTTCATTCTTCTGGTAGCTTGTTTGTTTGTTGGGGGGAGATGTAAACAAATAGGAATGGGAGAAGGAAGAAATTGTTATTTTCATATGCCAAAATATAGTCACTAAATTGACTACTAAATTTGGAAACCAGTAATATTGTGTGGAAAATATTCTCTTTAAGGAATTGGAATTCCAGTGTACCCAGGTCAAGTGATTTTGAAGACTCAGCACATCTCATGCAACCAGTCCACAATAAGCCTGTTAAACAAGGACCTAGGTATAATCTACATCAGATCCAGGGTCACTCAGCTCCTCGACATTTCCACACCCAGACCCAAAGTTTGCAACAATCAGTCAGGTACCTCTCTCTGTTTTCCCTTTTCTAGAATTGAGATAGAAATTAATACTATAGTTAATGAAAACACATTATGATACTGATGAGGAATTCTTCGTTTTTTTTTTTTTTGGAGACAGAGTCTCGCTCTGTCATCCAGGCTGGAGTACAATGGCGCGATCTCGGCTCACTGCAACCTCCACCTCCCAGGTTCAAGCAATTCTCCTGCCTCAGCCTCCTGAGTAGCTGGGACTACAGGCACCCGCCACCATGCCCAGCTAATTTTTTGTATTTTTAGTAGAGATGGGGTTTCACCATGTTAGACAGGATGGTCTTGATCTCCTGACCCTGTGATCTACCCGCCTCAGCCTCCCAAAGTGCTGGGATTATAGGCGTGAGCCACCGCGCCTGGCCGATAAGGAATTCTTGCTGTTCAGTTTGAACCAGGAGATATTATTCTGCTCTGTATTTTGCATTTAGCACTGGAAAATCAGTTACAGGACAGGGAATATGTGACTTTTCAGAGGCAATTCGGAAAGGGACTTAGAAATTTTGATTGATTTTAAACTTAAGCCAAGAGTTTGATGTGGCTATCAAAAAGGATCTTATATTCTTAGGCTACATTAATGTAGTATAGTTTTTAGAATAAGGAAGATTGTTATTTAAGGAGTTGATATGAATTATAAGAAAAATAATAAAATCCTAATAGAGAAATAGCAAAGGATCTGAACAGATAAAACGACAAAAGTATTTTCACTTGGAAAATGGGGAAGACCTCAGTATGGTTAAAGTGGTACATTAGTATGAGTTCTCCAGAATGATAGAACCAGTAGGATGGATGGATGGATGGATGGATGGATGGATGGATAGATGGATGGGTGGATGGGTGGGTGGATGGGAGGAGGAGCTTTTTTATTCGGGGTATCAGCTTATGCACTTGTGAAAGCTGAGAAGTTTCATAGTAGGCTGTCTGCAAACTGGAGAACCAGGGAAGCTGGTAGCATTCAGTCCAACTCAGAAAGCCTCAGAACCACGGAAGCCAGTGGAGTAACTCTCAATCCAAGGCTGAAGGCCTGGGAATCTGGTAAGGGTTGGAGGACACTGGTATGAGTCCTCAAGTCCAGAGGCCATGAAGCCTGGAGTTCTAATGTCCAAGAGTAGGAGAAGAAGGTAAGGTATTCCAGCTCCAGGAGAGAACACAATTTGCCTTTCCTCTGCCTTTTTGTTGTATCCAGGCCCCCAGCCTATTGGATGGTACCTACGCAAACTGAGGGTGGATCCTCCCACTCAGTCCACCCACTCACACACCAGTATCCTTTGGACACACCCTCACAGACACTCCCAGAAATAATACTTTACCAGCTATCTAGATATCTCTTAACCCAGTCAACTTGACACCTAAAATTAACTATCACAAATAGCAAGCTATTATTCTTGCCTATTAATTTAGCAACAGTTTTGTTTGCTTTTTTTTTGGTGACAGAGTCTCACCCTGTCGCCCAGACTGGAGTGCAGTGGTGCAGTCTTGGCTCACTGCAACCTCCACCTCCCAGGTTCAAGCAGTTCTCCTGCTTCAGCCTCCCGAGTAGCTGGGATTACAGGCACTGCCACCACGCCCAGCTAACTTTTGTATTTTAGTAGAGATGGGGGTTTCACCATGTTGGCCAGGCTGGTCTTGAACTCCTGACCTCAGGTGATCTGCCTGCCTCGGCCTCCCAAAGTGCTGGGATTACAGGCATGAACCACCTCGCCCAGCCAGTTTAGCAACAGTTTTTGATAAGCACTCCATTGTAGTGGTTGTCAGGCTGGACCTGGATTTGCATGTTGGCTTTGTTACTCACCTGCTTTGTGATCTTGGATAAGATACTTAGCCTATCTACATTTCATTTTTCCCATTAGTCAGATAGATATTTTAATAATACATACCCCATAGTGGTTGTTATTGACAGTTAACATGAATTTAAACAGTTTAGCACGTTGTAAACACTTTCAAAAATACATTGCCATTTTTAGGCCAGGTGCATTGGCTCACACCTGTAATCCCAGCACTTAGGGAGGCCAAGGTGGGAGGACTGCTTGGGCCCAGGAATTTGAGACCACCCTGGGCAACATGCTGGAATCCTGTTTTTATTAAAAAAAGAAAAAAGAAACTTTAAAAAAATTGACATTTTTAAAAGATGTAAACAAACATTTCAAAAAACATGTCACTTGCGGCATTGAAAATTGGTATAAGCCTTTTGAAGCACAATTTCAAGAGCCATAAAAATACTTTACCTAGTAATTTCATTCTGAGACTTAAGGAAATACTTCAAAGTACAGAAAAAGCTATATTTACTTAATCATTCAGCACATTTCTCAAACTCCCTTCCATGTGTCAGATGCTGGGCTAGCTCAGGATACAGTAGTATATGTTTTGCAGTGTTAATCCCAGCATTATTTGTGGTTGTGGAAAAACTTGTAGCTGCTATATTTCTAACAGTGGAGAATGTAGCTAAATAATTATATCCATACTATAACATTTTATAAAGCCATTGGAAGTGTTAGCTCATTTATGATAAGTGAAACTAATAGGCTGTGATTCAACAGTCAGAAAAAGATGCTGGGGAAAAGAACAAAAGGAAATACTAACTAATTGAATTATAGTAAGTGGGATTGAGGGCTCTGCAGTGGGGGGTTTTTCTTTTCTCATATTTCCAAAGTTTCTTTATTTTTTTTTGTAAGATGGAGTTTTGCTCTTGTTGCCCGGGCTGGAGTGTAATGGTGTGATCTCAGCTCACCGCAACCTCCACCTCCCGGTTTCAAATGATTCTCCTGCCTCAGCCTCCCCAGTAGCTGGGATTACAGGCTCCCACCACCACACCTGGCTAACTTTGTATTTTTAATAGAGATGGGGTTTCTCCATGTTAGTCAGGCTGGTCTTGAACTCCCGACTTCAGGTGATCCGCCCGCCTTGGCCTCCCAAAGTGCTGGGATTACAAGTGCGAGCCACCACGCCCAGCCCCAAATTTTCTTTTGTATAATTATATGAGATTTTCTGGTCTTGCTTTTGAAACAAGTTAATTTAAATCCTAATTTTTCAAATTTGTTGCATATACCATGCTTAAAGTTTTTCACACTTCATAATTAATTTATGTATGTTCGTTTATAAAGTGGAAGCAGATATCTGTTCTCAGTACTAACTAGCTTATTCTGTCTTATGTCAACCCTGCCAGACTTTGGGAGAGAAAGTATTTGATTAGAATAGTATGGGCATGCATTTATCTCTGTAGGGAAAGGTGGAAAGGCTTCTGGGAATCCACGGTGTGCCAGGGCATTGTAGGTAATTGAAATGTATTTTTTTAATTTAGCTTCATAACAGCTCGTGAAGGTGAAAAGTATTATTAGCCCCATTTTATAAAGAACTTAGGGAAATAACAATTAAGTATTTTATCTGCTTAGGTCACACAGGTAGGAAACAGTAGAATATATATTATTTTGTAAATTTATAAATTTAAAATATTTTATGAAAATATAAATTTAAAATAAATAAAAATTATTGTATTAATCCTAGTAATGGCTTATTACTTTTTGTTTTGCTTTAAGAAAATTTTCAGAGAATCCACATGTTTACCAGAGACACCATCTCCCTCCTCCTGGTCCCCCTGGAGAGGACTATTCACACAGGAGGTATTCTTGGAATGTGAAGCCCAATGCCAGTCGGGCAGCCCAGGATAGAAGAAGGTGGTATCCTTATAATTACTCCAGACTCTCCTATCCAGCCTGTTGGGAATGGACCCAGTGATACAAACCTGTCCTGGAATTCTACCTGGAGACCAGAGCTGGCCTGAAAATTACTGGTGTGACTTTTAATTAGTTCAGGTCTAATCAGGTTTCTTTATTGTTCCCTTATGTATTCAAGCTTAAGGAAAAATTGCATTGCTGTTTACCTCTTTGCTGATAAATTTGCAGTAATTACAGCATTGCAGGAAAAACAATCTGTTATTCCAGTCTTAAATTTTTCTAAAAGAAGACAATATTTTAGAACTGAAGCATTGAGAACTTCCCTTGCAAATTATTTTTAAAATTCTATCTTGTTTTTCTATGTATTTCTTTCTGACTAGACTTGTGATATGCGTGTGTTTATGTACAGAAATTTTTAGTGTTTTTGTTATGTTCTGTTATTGACCCAAAGGCCATCTTTATTTTCTATAACTGTTCAAAATTTATATTAAAATCTACTTAGGAGATAATTTCTTTAGAACCTAGTTACTACCTGTAATTAATTGTGGTATTTTTGTGATTAGATATTACTTTCTTTGGCAGTCAGTTGTGGGATTTGACCAACTTCCTTTGACTGAATTGTCAGATATACGGTCTCACACAGGAATGGATGAACTTTTAGGGATTGTCAATTGAGCAAGAGAGACTGACTGATAAACCAGATTGCTGGTTTATTCAATTATAGTGAGTAAGTTACCTGGCAGGGTAATTGCCATCAACTGAGTAGAACTATCCAGAAAACTTGAAAACTTTTATAAAGGTGATAAACAGAGTAGAATATGTCCATTTAAAGGCTGTGGATGTCTAGCAAGACTACTGTGTTATTGCTCCGTTGTTGAATATAACCTCCTGGGATCTTTCTCCAGTTGCCTCTCCTCTTAAGTGGAGTTGTGGCTTACCTTTTTTTTTTTTTTTTTTTTTGAGACAGGGTCTTGCTCTGTCACCCAGGCTGGAGTGCAGTGGTGCCATCTAGGCTCACTGCAGCCTCTGCCTCCTGGCTGAAGTGATCCTCCCACCTCAGCCTCCCTAGTAGCTGAGACTACAGGTGTGGACTACAATGCCTGGCCAATTTTTTGTATTTTTTTTAATAGAGACCAGGTTTTGCCATGTTGCCCAGGCTGGTCTCAAACTCCTTAGCTCAAGCGAATCCACTCACCTCAGCCTCCCAAAGTGTTAGGATTATAGCCATGAGCCACTGTGCCTGGCCTACCTTCACTTTTTCCAAGTTGTCTCTTCTGCTGCTATACCTGTGGAACACACAGACCCTTCATTGGGGAGGGTAATTATTTTTAGTTGCAGAGGAAGCCAGAAACCTTTGATGGCTCAAAGAAGTGTCTCATCATCATAACACATAGTAAGCCTCAGTAAATACTTGATGAATACTTGAGCAACCTGGCTTCATTTTTAAATTATTTTAATTAATTTATTTTTAAATTTTTGATAGAGATAAGGTCTCACTTTGTTGCCCAGGTTGGTCTTGAACTCCTGAGCTCAAGCGATCCTCCTGCCTTGGCCTCCCAAAGTGCTGGGATTACAGGCATGAGCCACCATGCCCAGCCATTGGCTTCATTTTTTAAAGCATCTGATTTTGAGGATTTGTGTCATTGAATGTCTGATGCTGCATGTGATAGTTATTTTCTCTTCTCTCATCTATGAACAACATCTGGACCCTGATTTTAAGGAGCTACTGTAGCTCAGCTGTTCTTGGCTGTACGTGATTAGCTCAGTCAGGTTGCTGTTGTAGAACCCCAAAAGTTAGGTTCATGTACCCGGTGCACAGTAAGCCAAACACTGACACATTAATGCTTAGAAAGGTTTATTCAATTTGGCCAAAGTATGAGGGTGGGAGAAGCAGATTCTCAAATATGACCTTCCTTTGCATGTAATTGGGGGCTTTCCCTGATGATCAAAGCTGCTCGTGTCCCTTGGCCAGTCAAATTTCTGGATGCCATCAGGGAGGTCAGTATGACCTAAGGATCATTGTTCTTTAAAAGAAAAACAAGTACGTTAATCTTGCAAGCAGCCCCTGGGGGTTAGGATATAAAGTTAATCACTTGTTAGTGACTGCTCTCTACCAAAATGACTACGTGCGAGCGATCCTGCCTGGAGGAAGCTAAGGACAGAGAAAGAAAAATAAGTAAAATAAACACCTGATGATTTTTCTAATATAGGCTGGGTTACAGTATCCCCACTGACACTGTTCCTTTCCTCAATCTTCAGTTGGGGTGTTGACTCAGTCTAACTACTTCCCGCTGGCAAGGGGCATTCCTAGGGGGCTGAGGAATGGAACTTACTTACCTGCAGTTGAAAATATTCACATGTCCCGGGACTTAGGCAATTTTGTTGTAACATTGTTGAACAGGGTGTCAGGAGCTTGAGAAGGGCGATCTTGCAATCCCACATATATAGTGCCACAGCAGTATAATCCACAGCCAAGGAGTATTCCTGTTCCTATAGTCATAGCTAGAATTACCAGTAATTTTTTCCACCAAGAGGGTACTGACCGGAAGTATTAAGATAATCATTGGTTTAGTGACATCATGAGGTTGGACACAGCATCAGTTTGTACATATCTTGAAGGGCCAGGGTGATGTTTCCTGAATTGTCTGGAATGTACACATAGCATTCAGTTTTCATTATGGCACAAGTTCTCCTTGTGTAGCTGTGAAGACATCAAGGGCCATGTGGTTCTACAAAACTGCTTTTTTCATCATAGTCATCTGAGAGGTGACTAAAGAGATGCCTTTGAATGCATCCTTCAGCACATGCTGGGTATAATTTGTTAGGATCTCAACATGTCAGATAACATTTTTTAAACTAACTTGGGGAACAAAAATGGAGAGGGGATGGTCATACCAGTGGAAAACTGACTTGGTCCGTTGATGCAACACATTTGGGAAATTTCCAGGTTGTCCGTTGGTTTTTGCCAAATGGCCCTGGACCTGTGAGAATCCCAGAGCATATTGTCCTATCTAGCCAATGGGTAATCAGGGCCAAAGATTAGTCCCACATAGCCATTGCACTCCGTATGAAGCTAGCCAATTGAATTCCTGGCCTGTGTCCAATTGGTAGCAAACCAGTCAGTTTGTTGCAGCCCTGGAGTATGTTCACACTGGTGGGGGGAGCATCCAGCCCATATTCTTAGTGATATTTGGCCAGTTATCATAAGAATGCTGTTTTTTTTTTTGTTGTTGTTCCCAACATAAAGGGGCAATTTGATTTATGTGGCCGGTGGCAGGATAAGGGTAGGGGAACACAGTCATTCAAAGATAATCATCCCAAGCTTGATAAAAACCTTCCTCAGTATAGTGGCTATTAATAGCCAAAATTTGGGGGGCTGCCAAGGGAAATTCCTTCAGGAGAGGAGGAGCAGTGTATTCAAAAGTTCGTTGAACAGTCTGATATATAGTAAAAGATTTTCTGTGACCTGGGTTGTGAAGGGTTATATTAATGCCAGGCCATAGCCTTACATTTCCTCGTGTTAGCACACCAGAGACCTGATTTTCTTTGGAATAGTTTTTCATAAAAGTTTGTTACTGTACTCAGTTGTTTCCTTGTAAGAGCAAGACCGACCAAGGTAATACCAACATGCTAGAGATAGGTAACAGCCCTCAAACCCTACGAGCTTCTGTAGGCTATCTGCATAATGTGCCCATTGTAGGAAAAGATTGGTTTCAGCAGACACCGTAAGCCATATAGTACTGTGGTGCTTAGCAAGAAGGCTTTACTTATCTGTGGATGTTTTCTTCAAAAGCAGCTTCAGGTTTTTAGTTGGTTCACATGTCCTTTCAGGTCTATTAACCTGATAGGTCGGGCTGAGGCGGGGGCAATTTTTATCCAGGTATAATGTACCCACGGTTTAACTCCTGCCCAATTGATGAATGCGTGGTCAGAAGGACCTCATAGGGTCTTACCCTTTGAGGGGCTAGTTGGTGATTCAGTCCAGTCTCCCTCCAGGTTTTAAGTAGAACTTGGTCTCTAGCCTAGAAAGGGTGAGGTGGCCTGTCCATGGGGAAGAAGCAAACTCATGAACAGAAGTCGGTATTTCATTTAGCAATTTTAAATAATGTCTAATAGCTCCTTCCCTTTCTAAGATTTTATAGCCTGATCTAGCCCCAATGTGGCTAGGAAGGGTCTCTCATACATAATTTCTAAAGGGCTCAACTAGAGCCTGTTTCAGGGAATGACCCAAATCCTCAGCAGGAGAGAAGGTAGTACTTTGTCCCAAGTTAGATTAGTTTCCTGGCACACTTTAGCAGCAGTTTTTTTTTTTTGTTTTTTTGTTTTTTTTGTTTTTGAGACAGTCTCACTCTGTCGCCCAGGCTGGAGTGGAGTGGCATGATCACGGCTCACTGCAATCTCTACCTCCCGGCTTCAAGCAATTCGTGTGCCTCAGCCTCCCAAGCAGCTGGGACTAAGGGCATGCGCCTCCACGTCCAGCTAATTTTTTTGTATTTTTAGTAGAGATGGGGTTTGCCATGTTGGCCAGGCTGGTCTCAAACTCCTGGGCTCAAATAATCCACCTGCCTTGGCCTCCCAAAGTGCTGGGATTACAGGTATAAGCCACCACACCTGGCCTAATTGTTCTTTAAATAGTTTGATTCAGTTTTTTAGTCTTTCCGGTGGGCTGTGGCTGTGCTGCATGAAGTTTCCATTCAATGTCTAGGACTTGAGACACTTCCTGTACTACCTGAGAGATGAACACCGCACCATGGTCACTCTGAATCGTCAAAGGGAGTTCATACTGGGGAATTATCTCTTTAGTATAGTGTGGGCCACTTCAGCTCCCTTTCTGTTCGGATAGGGTATGCCTCTACCCATCCTGTAAATGTGTCTACAAAAAACAAAAAGATGTTTTTTGTACAAAAAGATGCCCTGTAGCCTCCAGGCACCCGTGGCATTGTGGTGAAATTAACTTGCCAGTCCTTGCATGGAGAGTCTCCTCAATGTTGTACCCTTGAACAGGGGTGGGGTCAGTTTTAGGGCAGTTTGGGCACAAAGCATGCATTGATAGATCACATTTTGAATGACCCCATTGCATGTCGGGGTCAATCAAGAACTCACATGCCATTGAAGGGTTGCATCTTTTCTGTAATGGATGCTTTGATGAAACTAGCTCACTATATCTTTAAGGAGGGCACTGGGAACCAATACGATACCTTCCAGATTACATTTCCAGCCTGGATGGGCCAGGGCTGGGATGTGAATCCCCATTCCTTGGCTCACTTTAAATCTCCTTTGGTATAGCAAGGTTGGAACTTGGTCAGATCATTGTGAGGTATTAGTGGGGCTAAGAAAGCCTCAGAGTCCAATGTTTTTGTGGCTTGCTTGGCTGCCAGGTCGGCAAGCTAATTTCCTTTGACTATTCGGGAGTCTCCTTTTTGATGGCTGGGACAGTGGATGATAGCCACTATTAGAGGGGGCATTTACTGATTTTTTTTTTTTTTTTTTTTTTTTTTTTTTTTTTTTTAGATAGAGTCTCACTCTGTTGCTCAGGCTAGGGTGCAGTGGCACAATCTCGGCTCACTGCAACTTCTGCCTCCCGGGTTCAAGTGATTCTCCTGCCTCAGCCTCCCAAGTAGCTGGGACTACAGGCATGTGTCACCGTGCCTGGCTAATTTTTATATTTTTTAGTAGAGACGAGGTTTCACCATGTTGGCCAGGCTGGTCTTGAACTCCTGACCTTAGGTGATTCACCCGCCTCAGCCTCCCAAAGTGCTGGGATTATAGGCATGAGCCACCATGCCTGGCCTTTTACAGATTCTAATAAGGCCAAAATATCAGAAGTATATTTGATTTCTTTATTTTTGCTAGTCAAAAGACCTCTCTCTACATAGCTCTGTGGGCATGTGCCACCAAGAAATCATATTGGGAGTCTATGTAAATATTCATAATTTTTTTTCTTACCCAATTGGAGGGCATGCATAAGGGCACCTTGGCCCACTGAGCTGAGGTGCCTAGCAATAAGGCTTTGGCTTCCTTAATTCCTTGTAAGGTAATGACCTCAAATTCAGCATGATGATGTCCATGGTCCATGAAGCTGCTTGCATCTGTGAACAGTCCTAGTTTGGAGCACAGCAGGGGCTGATCTGCCAGGTCTGGTTGCCTTGGAAAGACCTGCTCATTAATTGGAAGGCAATTTTGTATGGGCCCTGGCTCCTTCTCTGGAGGTATTAAGGTAGCAGAGTTAAGAACCGAGAACACCTTTAACTTCACCTCTGGATTGTCAAGGAGGGTGGATGGCTTGGTATTTTCCCAACCTCTCAGAGGTCAGCCAGTATCCACCTTTTTGATCTAAGAGACAGGAGATGTGATGCAGTGTGTGGACAGTGATGAGCTGAGCTAGAGTTAGCTTTTCAGCCTCCTAGAAGAGGTTGCAAGTTGCAGCCACTGCTCGGAGGCAGGGGGACCAACCCTCACCACCTGGTCAAACTGTTCAGAGAAATAGGCAATCAGTCTTCAGTCAGTTCCCAAGCTTTGAGTTAGGACACCCAAGCCCATGGCTTGTTTTTTGTGCACAACTAAATTAGAGGGCTTTCTTAAATCTGGAAGGCCCAGCAAAGAGGCAGTCTTTAACTTTTCTTTGACTTTATTTTATTTACTTATTTATTTTTTTTGACATGGAGTTTTGTTCTTGTCACTTAGGCTGGAGTGCAGTGACACGATCTCAGCTCACTGCAACCTTTGCCTCCTGGATTCTCCAGCCTCAACCTCCTGAGCAGCTGGGATTACAGGCACCCACCACGATGCCCAGCTAATTTTTGTATTTTTTAGTAGAGACAGGGTTTTGCCGTGTAGGCCAGGCAGGTCTCGAACTCCTGACCTCAAGTGATCTGACTGCCTCGGCCTCCCAAAGTGCTGGGATTACAAGCATGAGCCACCGTGCTCAGCCTCTTTGACTTTTAATTTTGGCATTCTGAAGTCCAGATCAGGGGCTCAGAATTTTTTCCTTTTAGGGCCTCATAAAGGAGTTTTACCGTAAGTCCAAAATTCAAAATCCAAATTCAACAGAATCCCATCATTCCTAGAAACCGTTGCAGTTGTTTACAGGAGATGGGGACAGCTACCCAGACGATTGCCTCCAGGTGGCCTGGGGGAAGGTTTCTATGCCCCTTATTCAGTTCAAACCCTAAGTATTTTACTATCTTTTGGCAGATCTGGGCTTTCTTTTTGGAAACCCAGTAGCCTGTTACCACTAGGAAATTCAGTATTTGAATGGTATTTTCAAGGAAAGCTCTGAAGGTCTTGCAACACAGATTTCATCCACATATTGTAAAAGCGTTCCTTCTGTCAGCCAGATGTCCGTTAAGTTCCATGCCAAAAATTTCCCAAAGATTGTGGGGGAATTTTTAAATCCTTGAGATAACAGTACTGCTGATTGACCTGTGTCCCAGCCTCAGAGATTCAAATTCAAAGATCTCTTGTGTCTCCTTGTCTAATGCAAAATAAGGCATCTTTACAGTCCAAATCTGTAAACCAACCTAGTTCTCCTGACAAAGTGATCAGCAAGCTATAGGGGTTAGTTACCATAGGGTGTATGTCCTAGACTGTTTCATTACTGGCCCTAAGTCTTGTACAAACTGTAGTTGTCTTTTTTTTTTTTGAGACGAATCTCGCTCTGTCACCCAGCCTGGAGTGCAGTGGCACGATTTCGGCTCACTGCAAGCTCCGCCTCCCAGGTTCAAGCCATTCTCCTGCCTCAGCCTCCTGAGTAGCTGGGACTACAGGTGCCTGCCACCACGCCTGGCTAACTTTTTTGTATTTTTAGTAGAGATGGGGTTTACCATGTTAGCCAGGATGGTCTTGATCTCCTGACCTCGTGATCCGCCCGCCTCGGCCTCCCAAAGTGCTGGGATTACAGGCGTGAGCCACCACGCCCAGCCGAAACTGTAGTTGTCTTAATGGGACTTGCATGATGGTAAGATGTAGGGACCAGCCCCACAGGGTCAGTGGGTTTTTCTCCCCATGTGTGGAGACGAGAGATTGTAGAAATAAAGACACAAGACAAAGAGATAAAAGACAGCTGGGCCTGGGGGACCACTACCACCAAGATGCAGAGACCAGTAGTAGCCCCGAATGCCTGGCTGCACTGTTATTTATTGGATACAAGGCAAAAGGGGCAGGGTAAAGAGTGTGAGTCATCTCTAGTGATTGATAAGGTCACGTGAGTCACGTGTCCACTGGACAGGGGGCCCTTCCCTGCCTGGCAGCCGAGGCAGAGAGAGGGAGAGCGAGAGAGAGACAGCTTACGCCATTATTTCTGCATATCAGAGACTTTTAGTACTTTCATTAATTTTGCTACTGTTATCTAAAAGGCAGAGCCAGGTGTACAGGATGGAACTTGAAAGCAGACTAGGAGCGTGACCACTGAAGCACAGCATCACAGGGAGACAGGGTCAGGCCTCCGGATAACTGCGGGCGGGCCTGACTGATGTCAGGCCCTCCATAAGAGGTGGAGGAGTAGAATCTCCTCTAAACTCCCCCAGGGAAAGGGAGACTCCCTTTCCCGGTCTGCTAAGTAGCGGGTGTTTTTCCTTGACACTGATGCTACTGCTAGACCACGGTCTGCTTGGCAATGGGCGTCTTCCCAGACGCTGGCATTACCACTAGACCAAGGAGCCCTCTGGTGGCCCTGTCCGGGCATAACAGAAGGCTTGCACTCTTGTCTTCTGATCACTTCTCACTCACTATGTCCCTTCGGTTCCTATCTCTGTATGGCCTGGTTTTTCCTAGGTTATGATTATAGAGCGAGGATTATTACAGTATTGGAATAAAGAGTAATTGCTACAAACTAATGATTAATGATATTCATATATAATCATGTCTATGATTTAGATCTAGTATAACTCTTGTTGTTTTATATATTTTATTATACTGGAACAACTTGTGCCCTCGGTCTCTTGCCTCAGCACCTGGGTGGCTTGCTGCCCACCGTAGAACAGGAATGTTAAAGGGAGAATTACAGGACCAAATCAGTCCTTGTGCCAAAAAAGCCTTCCAAGAGTGGTTGAATACCCTTTCATGCCACTTCCTTTAATGGGTATTCTGTGTCTCTCTTTTAATTTTTATGGGTTTGGCTGTGACCACTCTCCCTGGCTTCCCTTGGGCCCAAACATCTCTCCTTACCTGTGTGAGAATTTCTTCTGGAATGTCCTGAACCTCTTCGTTTTCTGGTTGCAGCAGGAGTATTTGAAACCTGCAAACTTGTTCAGAAGGAATCATTATATCTAGGCATCTGGGGGGAAAGACAAGTTGAGCATACAATTTGGCAAGCAAATCCCAGCCCAGGAGGGGCACTGGGCATTAAGCATGTACAAGAAACTATGCCCTAGGCCGGTCTCTCGTAAATGGTAACCTGAAGATTGTAGAAAGGGATAATGGTGTCTCCCAATATCCGTGTAACAGTAATGGTTTTTCCCAAAGCTGGAGAGAGACAATTGTTAATTAATTAATATGTGGCACTGTGTCAAGTAAAAAGTCAATCATTCTGTTCCCCACTGTCAGTTGTATCTAGGAATCCTGTGGGGATATAGCCACTGGTTGCTCCAAGTCTAAGGGAGTCCCTGGGACACATCAGTCTTCATCTAAATATTATTCTCTCTCCTCATCTGATTTTGAGGGACACTGCACTTGCTAGCTGCTTTGGTCAATTTGGGACAGCCCTTTTTCCAGTGTCCCTCCTTCTTACAATAGGCATATTGGTTTTTTTTCTGAAGGGGGCGTGAGCCGCTCTTTGATTTCTTCCTTTTCCCCTAGGTTGGTAGTCAAGCACAGCTGCCAGTGAGTTACTTGTTGCTTCAATTTGCACTTTCCTGAGCCTCATCCTGAGCATAGTACACTTTAAAAGCTAAGTCCACTAAATGTGAGATTGGCAACCCAAGGATCCCATTTACCTTTTGCAGTTTTCTTTGAATATCAGGGCACTGTGGCTGATAAAGGTCACATTGACCATTCTCTGATTGTCCGGTGCCTCAGGGTTAGTTAGCGTCAACCTACTTTCCACATGTCTGATGGAGTCTTTCTGGGAATTACA
Organism: Homo sapiens; assembly: GCF_000001405.40. Lineage (NCBI taxonomy): Eukaryota > Metazoa > Chordata > Mammalia > Primates > Hominidae > Homo > Homo sapiens. The sequence continues at coordinate 422,147 of NW_025791766.1, read as the reverse complement.
AAGGGTCCTCATATGCTTGCCGCTGTACTTCCTGTACCTTATTGAGGCTCTTAACCTGAGTAACCCCTTTCCTCAAACCTTCAAGGATGTGGTTCTCATAGTGTCCTAAGTGGGAAAGGCCCCACCATTTACATCGCACCTGGTCTCTGTGTTAGGGACTGAGTCTATTGGCCAGGGGTGATTGTTTCCTGCCTCCAGATGGAGCCGATTTGCTTCTTCCCTAGCCTTTTCTGTGACTACATGCCTTTCTTCTGCTGTGAGCAGCACTTTAACAAAGTGAGTATCTGCCCTTGTCGGGTGGTAGGTCAGAAATATAGACAAGAATAGCCCAGCCATTTGCTTGGGTTGGGATAGGGGGGATTATTGTTTTTCCAAAGATATTGTTTTCCCACTGAACAGCTCCAAAGTGGGAAAAGGAAATGTAACCACATCATGCCAAACTGTTGTCCATTCAAGTCCCACAGTGGGGAATTGACACAGAGGAAACTGCCCTACTAAGGGACCAGTGGGTCCCAGGCCAAATTGGGTTTCCTGTCAGTTGCAGGAAGGCGAGACCACAACCTGTCCTAATTCCATGGGGAGGACAGGTTTGGGAGTGTTCCCCTCCTGCTCCAGACAATCCCATAAGGAGGTGGAGGTGCTGGAGCCATAGCTGACTGGGGGGCAGAGGATCAGGATGATTATTCAGGGGATTCAAAGCACCAAGCAGTGCCCTGTCTTCCCCACCTAATGGTGGGAGTCTAAAACCTTAGGTTTGGGCTGTTTTTCCTTTTGCAGCATCAAATTATACCTCTTTTGAGTAGGTTCATTCTGATAAAAGAGTATAAAAGCCTGGACATACAGGATTGCATCCTATTTTCTCTGCTCTTACAGAATAGTTGCAGTTGTATTATAGTAGCATAACTTAAAGAACTGTTTGTCAGCCATTTTTTCCCAAATTCTAAGGCATATTGAGGCCAAGCAGCGTTACAGTTAAAAAAATTTTATTTTTCTTCATGGGCTCATAGCTGAAAGTGGCCCAATTCTGGAGAATGCAGCCAATGATGCTACTCTCTGGGATCAATTCCAAATTTGCCCTGTTCAGTCTTTTCACATAACACACACACCACACACACACACACACACAGATACACACACACACACCCCCCAAACCAAACAACAACAACAACAAAACAAAATCACAAACAGAAAACCAAACTCCCTACAGGAAAGCAAACAAGAAAATGGGCATAGTCCACCATTCTATTACTCCCCCAAAAGGGCCCTCTTCACAATGCAAGCAGAGAGAGTGAGATATGGCTGTGTGCACCGCAGTGACTTACCCTTCAAACCAAAACCAGAAGTCCAGATAGCAGTCTGAGATGTTTCTCTGCTCTAAGCTTCTAGAGTACCAACAGCAGCCTACACTGACCTAGAAGAGCGACTTTAGGGCCCCCTGACCAACACACTTGGGCAGCTGCTGGGACACTCGTTCGCCTAACCTGGCCAGGGCCTATTGCCATGCTAGACCTGGCATGGTTGCCAAAATCTGTTGCAGAACCCCAAAAGTTAGGTTCAAGTACCTGATGCGCAGTAAGCCAAACACTGACACATCGGTGCTTCAGAGCAGAGAAAGGTTTATTCAATTTGACCAAAGCATGAGGGTGGGAGAGGCAAATTCTCAAATTCAGCCTCCCTTTGCACGTAACCAGTGGCTTTTATGAGTAAGGTAGGTATATGGGAAGTGAGATCCCCTGATTATCAAAGCTGCTTGCATCCCTTGGCCAATCAAACTTCTGGGTGCCATCAAGGAGGTCAGCATGACCCAGGGATCATTGTTCTTTACAAGAAAAACAAGTTCATCAATCTTGCAAGCCGCCCCTGGGGGTTAGGATATGAAGTTAATCACTTATTAGTGACTACCCTCTACCAAAATGACTACATGCAAGCAGTCCTGCCTGGAGGAAGTTAAGGACAAAGAGAAAGGAAAATAAGTAAAACCTACATGATTTTTGTAACATAGGCTTGGTCACATTGCTATATTTCATCTAAGTGATGGCTATACAGTTTTTCTCTGCTTGTCACATTTAACAGAGATATAAAAGTTCTTGCTAAAAGGCTAGTCTTGTAGAGTACGTCATGAAGGCTCATCATGAATACATCATGAAAGCCCACTTGGGAAGAAATCGGAGCAAGACAACTGGCGAGGCAAAAAGAACAAGCAGGGGCAGACATGGAAATCCACCTAGTCTGTTTTAAAGAGCCCCTGGGCAGGCAACTTCTGAGGAGGACGCTGTCAGCAGAAGTGCCATCATATAAACACTACACCTTCAAAAAAGTTTCCTGACCCTATTGTCCCCTCTGTGTCCTCCTCATTTCAGTTAACATGGCCTGTTAAAAAATCTTGTCACCATTAGATGTTTCATGTCTTATTTATTTAACACACTTGTTCTGTGTCTGGCTAAGAGGACTAGCAAGTCTTTTGTTTAAAAATGTCTTTAGGCCGGATGCAGTGGCTTACGCCTGTAATCCCAACACTTTGGGAGGCCAAGATCACCTGAGCTCAGGAGTTCGAGACCAGCCTGCCCAACATGGCAAAACCCCATCTGTACTAAAAATACAAAAATTAGCTGGGTGTGATGGCGCTCACCTATAATCCCAGCTACTTGGGAGGCTGAGGCAGGAGAATTGCTTGAACCTGGGAGGCGGATGTTGCAGTGAGCCAAGATCACCCCACCACACTCCAGCCTGGGCCACGGAGTGAGACTCTGTCTCAAAATTATATATATATATATATATATATATATATATATATATATATATATATATATACAATTTAATAAAAAGGTCTTTAGTGGTCTGCTTAGGTTTTAAAATTCTTTCATTATTCATAAACACCTATGAGTTGTTTACAATTCAAATAGCTCCACTGAGATTATCATGAAAAGGGGCGGTCTTCCACCTTACTCCTGGATATCATTTCCCAAAGGCAGCCACTTTAAGTATTTTTGCATTATTTATTGGCATTTGCCTCCATATTTAAATAATGTGCTTATATCGCCACTTCTTGATTTTTCCATTAGTGTTATTACCTGTTGATTTCCTCCTATGGTAGATAAGAATTTAGCTCTTTCATAATATCCACCCACACCACACCACAGTTGTTTCTCAACCTTTGGTTAAGTCAGCGATCTAAGTTCATGTTATTTACTAGCTAAATATTCATCATGAGCCATAGTGTACCATGATTGTGTTTCTCAGACCACTTTTCCCCCCTCACTTTTACTTCATTTGTTTGCCTCTTTTCCTATGGATTGATGATGAATTCATCCCCCAAATCTCTGATAGCATTATGTAATCTTGTATATACATCAAATTCTTTTTTTTTTTCTTAATCTTTCCTGGTTCCCTTGTTCTGGGTTCAGTGCTATATTCGTTTACTAGGGCTGCCATAGCAAAGTACCACAGACTGGGTGGCTTAAATAAGAGAAATTAATTTTCTCACAATTCTGGAGATGGAAAGAGCAAGGTGTCAGCAGGGTTGGTTTCTTCAGAGGCCTCTCTTCTTGTCTTGTAAATGGCCGTCTTCCTGTGTCTTCACATGGTCTTCCCTTTGTGTCTCTCTGTGTCTAAATTTCCTTACCTTAAAAAGATGCTAATTGGAATGGGACCTCAATTTAAAAGAAAAGAAAAAGAAAAAGGACGCTGGTCATATTGGATTGGGGCCCACTCTAGTGACTTCACTTTTACTTATTTACCTGTTTAAAGGCCCATTTCCAAATACAGTCACATACTGAGATACTGTGGTTAGAACTTTAACATGACTTTTGGAGTGACACAACTCAGCCCAGAACAGGCACTTTGGTTATTCTTTTTTTTTTTTTTTTTTTTTTTTTTTGAAGACAAGGTCTCACTCTGTTGCCCAGGCTTGAGTGCAGTGGTGTGATCTTGGCTCACTGCAGCCTCCGCCTCCTGAGTTCAAGCGATCCTCCCACCTCAGCCTCCTGAGTAGCTAGGATTACAGGCATGCACCACCACACCCAGCTAATTTTTAAATTTTTGGTAGAGAGTGGGTTTCACCATGTTGGCCAGGCTGATCTCGAAATCCTGACCTCAAGTGATCTGCCCGCCTTGGCCTCCCAAAGTGCTGGGATTACAGGCGTGAGCCACTGCACGTTGGTTATTCTCTAGACCTCAGGCATAGCTTCTGCCCTGGGATTTCTCTTTACCTTCACCCTGGTCATTTCTTCCTCTCCTGTCTCCTGGATCCCATAGCTGCTGCTTTTTGGTTTACTTTCCTGTTGGGTGGAGTATATCTTTCAGCATCCCAGGGAAGGTCATTGGGATATAAACTTTTCAAGACCTTTGCCTGAGTGAAATGGGTTTATTTTACTCTTTCACTCCTTTGATAGTTTGATCGTGGAATTGTAGGTAAGCAGTTTTAAATGCATTAATTCATTGTTGTTCTAGATTTCATCTCTGCTGTTGAAATCCTGTGCTATCCTGACTGCAGAGCTTTTATTTGTGACCTGTAATTTTCCTCTCTGGCAGCTTTAGGATCTTTATCTCAGGTGTTCTGAAATTTCATGTTATGACTTAGTGGGTGCTTTTTTTTTTTTTTTTTTTTTTTTTTTTTTTTTTTTTTTTTTTTTTTTTTGATACAGTCTCACTCTGTCGCCCAGGCTGGAGTGTAGTAGCATGATCTTGGCTCACTGCAACTTCCGTCTCCCAGGTTCAAGCGATTCTCTTGCCTCAACCTCCCAAGTAGCTGGGACTACAGGCACATGCCACAATGCCTGACTAATTTTTGTATTTTTGGTAGAGACGGGGTTTCACCACATTGGCCAGGCTGGTCTCAAACTCCTGACCTCAAGTGATCCATCCGCCTCAGCCTCCTAAAGTGCTGAAATCACAGGTGTGAGTCACCGAGCCCAGCCAGTGTGGGTGCTTTTTAATTCATAATGCTAAATACTTAGTGAGCTTTTTCAATCTGGCAAGTTATGTGCTTCAGTTCTGGGATATTTCAATTTTAATCACATTTTTTTTGCGGGAGGGGGGAGTTTTATTAGTTGAATGTGGGATTTTCTGAAATGTACCTCTAAGTTTTTTTTTCTCTTGTTTTCCATTTTTAACCTTTTGCCTTTTTTTAAAATTTAGGATGATTTTCTCAGCTTTATTTTCTACCTTTCTGTTGGCTATCTACATTTTCTGCTATATATATTTTTTCTGCTCTATGATTTTAATTTCCAAGAGCTAGCTCATTTTTTTTCTGGAAAAAAATGCTATTAGAAAATGAATTCATTATCTCTCTAATGTCAATTATTTCTACATTTCTTCTGTTCCCTGAATCAACTTTTTTTTTCTTTCTTTCCCGTCCGCTACTTGTTTATACCTCTGTCTCTGCTCTTAGAAGTGTTCTTGAAATACCTCATGACCATGTTTACTGCTCATTTGTCCATACTTAACATTGAGGCACTAAAAGCTGATGATGGACGCTCTAGTCTTGTCATGGTGGCCTTGTAATAAGGTGGTTAGTCAGCTTGGTTTTTGTTTACTTTCCTCCTGCCGCACACATTTAAGTTTTATTTTTCTCCATTCTGACAGTTACCATCTTTGAAATTTTAATTTTTGTTCACCACAAACACTTCTACTATGGAAGGGAGGACCCTTCTAGTATCCTGTGTGAACCTCCTTTCTGATGTAATTCTAGCAACTGCCCCAGAATTACGTCCTGAAAACAAGCTGATTTGTGTTTTTCCCTTTGGGAATCTTGAATGGCTTCTGGCCTTCAGAACCCATTTTCAGTTCCTTGTCAAGGCTTTCTGTGATCTGACTCCAAGCTGAGTTTACAAAGCCCTGTACTGTATTCCACTCCATATCTCAGGATGCCAGCCATTTCCTGAGTACATTGTGTTACATGTGCTTATGCCACCGTGTCCTTTGTCTTTCAGGTTGTTCTCCTGGCTATAATTTCTCTTCTGTGGCCTCTGTGAGCACATCGTTCACATTCTTTAAGCCCATCTCCTTAGTAAAGCCTTCTCTCCCACCCTACATTATTCACAAACAGCCTACCCTTCCAGGTGGATGATTCCTCTCTCGGCAAGGTACCTTGTGTCATTATTTAGCATTTGTTTCATTTATATCTCATCCTGTATGAAACACAGATTCTAGAGCACTGTCTCAGATTCCATCAACCCCATCAACCCCTTGAGCTTCTGCTGACAGGTTTAAGGCAATGATCCAGAAGTATGGAGGAGTCAGCTCCCTCTGGAGGGCCTTGATTAGTGAAATGCAGAGGACAGGAGGGAGCCTGGCAGGCAAGCGCCCCCTCCTGTCTCCCTCCTGTGAACTCCTCTCAGCCATGGTTTTGCCTTGCATGCCTTCCAGAGAAGACACACAGGTTGTCTGGCAAATGTGTTCGGCTAAGTAAATGCACTTGGCAAACACTCCGTGTGTCCTCCTGGCTCACTGTGAAGCCTGCGGTGAGGTAATGCATTACATCACATTGCTATGCATCGTTCCTTGCTTCATTTACCTTTTTCCTCGCCCTCACCTCTCTGTTCTTACATATCCCAAATAAAATACCAGTGCTTACATGTGCCGTGTTGGTGTGCTGCACCCATTAACTCGTCATTTACATTAGGTATTTCTCCTAATGCTATCCCTCCCCCATCCCCCCACCTCATGACAGGCCCCGGTGAATGATGTTCCCCGCCGTGTGTCCAAGTGTTCTCATTGTTCAATTCCCACCTATGAGTGAGAACATGCAGTGTTTGGTTTTCTGTCCTTGTGATAGTTTGCTTAGAATGATGGTTTCCAGCTTCATCCATGTCCCTACAAAGGACATGAACTCATCAATTTTTATGGCTGCATAGTATTCCGTGGTGTATATGTGCCACATTTTCTTAATCCAGTCTATCATTGATGGACATTTGGGTTGTTACATATGTAACAAACCTGCACATTGTGCACGTGTACCCTAGAACTTAAAGTATAATAAAAATAAATAATAAATAAAATACCAGTGCTTTAATCCTTGCCTTGGGCTCTGCTTTCTAGAGGGCCTAGGTTAAGACACCCAGATATTTGTTTAAAAATCTGACAGTCATAAGTGTTTAATCATTCAGACATGTGTATGACAGCTGGAAGTACCACATCTCTCACTGATTTGACATTGAAGTCCTACAAATATTTATACCTTTTAAGAATATAGAAATGTCAGTTACATCCAACATAACAATTGATCAAGAATTACAAGTTTCATTTTCGAAGTTATTTTCACAAGACATGGGGATTGTGTTTGGAGTCTGGGTATCTTACCTGACCCATTTGTTCAGATAACATTTCCAAGGTTAGATTCATTTTAACACATGGTAACAGTTATGCATATTTATACAAGTCTATATATTGCAGAGAAGAATAAAGTTGATATTGTTTTGAAAGCTCTCATCTAACACCTTATCAAATTAGATCTTTTGAACTAATTTTATGGTACATAACCCTTGCAAGTCATAAGGGATCATTTTTACCTCTGAGATGACTTAAAAAATAGTCAAATAGTAAAATTCACCTCTTTTAGTGTACAGTTCTACAAATTTTGACAAATGCGTAGTTTTATAACCATCACCACCACCACCACAATCAAAATATACAACCATTCCATCATCCCCTAAAATTCCCTCATGGCATTTTGTAGCAATCCATTCTCACCAACCCCAGACTTTGGCAAATGCTGACCTATTTTCTGTCCCTATAGTTTTGCTTTTTCTAGAATGTTGTATAAATGGAATAACAGAGTATGTAGCCTTTCAAATGTGGCTTCTTTCATTTAGCATAATGCTTTTGAGCTTCCTCCATGTTGCTGAGTAGATCAACAGTTCATTCCCTTTTGTTGCTGAGTATGCTGTGGATATACCACAATTTGTTTTCCATCTACTAGTTGAAGGATATTTGGGTTATTTACCAATATTCGAATTTTGAACAAAGCTGCCATAAACATTTGCATAGAGATTTTTGGGTGAATTGTTTTTATTTCCCTTGTACTGGGATTGCTGTTGTGGGGTAAGTGTATATTTAATTTTATAAGGAACTGCCAAACTTTTGCAAAATGTCTGTATTACACAGCATCCCCGTGAATAAGCTATGAGAGCTCCAGTTGCTCACATCCTCACCAATACTTAGTGTTGTTAGTTTTTTCTAATTTTAGCTGTTCCAACAAAAAGATGTAGTGTCTCATGTTTCTTAAACAGCGTTAGAGAGATAATTGACATGCAATATGCTGTATATTTTTATAAGCATACAATTAGATTCACATGACATATACACATCCATGAAGCCATTACCATAATCAAGGTAGAACACATCTATTACTCCACAGTTCCCCCACACTCCTTTGTAATCCTCCCTTTGCATCCTAGAACCCCTACTCAAGCGACCACTGATCTGCTGTCACCATAGAGTAGTTTTACATAAACGGAATCATATAGTATGCACTCTTTTTATGTCTGGCTTCTTTGATTTGGCATAATTATTTTGAGATTCATCCATGTTGCTGTATATAGCAATAGCTGACTTCTTTTTATTGCTGAGTTGCAGTCATTGTATGGATGTGTGACACTTTGTTTATCCATTCACTCGAACATTTGGGTTGTGGGTTGTTTCCAGCTTTTAATAGTTAGAAACAAGCTGCTATGAACTGAGACAACTTTTTTTTTTTTTTTTTTGGAGATGGAGTCTTACTCTGTCACCCAGGCTGGGGTGCAGGGTGCAATTCTGGCTCACTGCAACCTCTGCCTGCTGGTTTCAAGCGATTCTCCTGCCTTAGCCTCCCGAGTAGCTGGGATTACAGGCGTGCGCCACCATGCCCAGCTAATTTTGTATTTTTAGTAGAGATGGGGTTTCACCATGTTAGCCAGGCTGATCTTGAACTCCTGACCTCAGGTGATCCACCTGCCTGGGCCTCCCAAAGTGCTGGGATTACAGGCATGAGCCACCATGCCCGGCCAAGACAATTTTTTTATTCCATGGGACTCTGCTTGATATGAGACAACAATTTTTATGTCTGTTTTCGAATCAACTTTATTGAGGCATAATTTGTAGTTTATAAAATATGCTCTTCTAGGCTGGGCATGGTGGCTCATGCCTGTAATCCCAGCACTTTGGGAGGCCAAGATGGGCGGATCACAAGGTCAGGAGTTCGAGACCAGCCTGCCAGCATGGTGAAGCCCCATCTCTACTAAAAATACAAAAATTAGCCTGGCGTGGTGGCGCACCTGTAATCCCAGCTACTCGGGAGGCTGAGGCAGGAAAATCGCTTGAACCTGGGAGGCGGAGGTTGCAGTGAGCCAAGATCGTGCCACCGCACTCCAGCCTGGGTGATAAAGCAAGACTCTGTTTCAGAAAAAAAAAAATTATATATATATATTTTTTAAAATATATTAAATATATATTATATATAATATACTCTTCTAAAGTATACCTAATTTGATGAATTGTAACAAATTCATACTTCCTTGTAACTGACACCACATCAAGATATAGAACATTGGCTTCACCCTAAAGATTCCCTTTGGGTCCTTTCCAGTCAGTGTCTCCCACTTCCCTATCCCAAGCAACCACTGATTTGCTTTCAGTCACTCCATAATAAATCTGTAATCTCTAGCATTTTGTAGAAATGAAATCATATGGTAATTTATTTTATTTTATTTATTTATTTTTGAGACAGAATCTTCCTCTGTCGCCAAGGCTGGAGTGCAGTGGCACAATCTTGGCTCACTGCAACCTCTGCCTCCCAGGTTGAAGCGATTCTCCTGTCTCAGCCTCCCGAGTAGCTGGGATTACCGATGCTTGCTACCACACCCGGCTAATTTTTGTACTTTTTGGTAGAGACAGGGTTTCACCATGTTGGACAGGCTGGTCTCGAACTCCTGACCTCAGGTGATCTTCCTGCCTCAGCCTCCCAAAGTGCTGGGATTACAGGCTTGAGCCACCGTTCCCAGCCTAGTAATTAATTTTAGATTGTCATTTTGCTGAGCACATTCTAAAGACTCATCCATGTTGCAAGTATTGTTGGAAGTATCTGCAGTTCATTCCTGTTCATTACTGAGTGGTATCTCACTGTATGAATTTGCCACAATGTGTTTATCAATGTATTGTTGGGCATTGGTTATTTCCAGTTTTTGGCTATTATGAGTAAAGTTGATATGAACATTCAAGAACAAGCTGCAGGACAATTCTCCAGGTCACCTTAGACTCGCCCAGTTCTTCCCTCTTTCTCACGTGTGTTCTCAACAATAACTGTAGAATGTGCTGGGAATGCAACATCCTGCGATAAAGAGGGACTGACAAGAACAGCTCACAGGCTCTCTCTGTTCCTGTCTGCCTCTGAGAAACAAGATGTCCATCAACACTTTTGCCCAGCGTGTCATGTGGTCCCCAGGGTATTAAATCCAGTGTGGGATGCTTTCTAGTGTCCCTCAGCTGCAGTGCAAGTGGGACACATGCCCCACTTGTGAGAATCCATCCACCCTCGGTAGCTTTCTTGAGCCTTGGGAGATTGGCTCACAATGAATTCCGGGCTTCTGTTGTGCCTCAGGGCCAATCTGTAAGTAATAAACCCACTTCATGTAACTTGTGTGTGGGCATTCCATCTTACCATCTCATTGGACTCAGGCAAGTTGATAACCAGTGCACAATGAGCCTGCTTCACAAAATTGACACAACAAACAGGGTTCAGTCTAACAGAACCATGTTTTCCTGGTGAAAGGAGGTGGTGATGTCAACCTGTGGGTGCAGAGGCTGGACTTGCAACTGGACATTTTATGGGAAAGGAGGGGTGATACGTGAGACATTAGGTCACGTGCAAACACACCCTGTGGATGTGACTGAGCTGGCTGAATGGGTGGAAGCAGAGAGAAAGTAAGGTGGAGCTGAAATGCCACACAGGATCCCTTGGTTGTTAGCCACTTATGTGATTGCTCATTTCCAGGGCTGATGATTGGGGACCCAAACATACCCTAAGGCACTTAAGAGAAAGAAGAGGGATGAGGTACTCACATGGTCCCTGAAGCATCTGAGAGGAACCCACATGCACAACGTGGCCCGTCACAGAAAGGGAGACTCAAGTCTAAAGGACCACAGTCTTAGACATGGAGAAAGGCCAAGGAAGTCACATGCATCCTGGTTGATGAATATATTTGATAAAGGGACATTGCAAACCCAAATGTCTTGGGCTGTATGGCACGGGTAGGAATGGGGCCCAAGGTCTCTGGATCCCCACCAGAGGCCAATGGCTCTATACTCCTATTAAGATAAAATGGGGCCAGGTGCAGTGGCTCATACCTATAATTCCAGTACTTTGTGGGGCCAAGGCAGGAGGATCCCTTGAGCCCAAGACTTAGAGACCAGCCAAAGCAACAAAGTGAGACCTCGTCTCTACAGAAAATTTAAAAATAATTAGGTGTGGTGGTGTGCTTCTGTAATCCCAGCTATGTGGGAGGCTGAGGCTGGAGGATTGTCTGAACCTGGGAGGTTGAGGCTGCACTCCAACATGGACAATGGAGAGAGATCCTGTCTCAAAAAAAAAATAAATAAATAAAATGGGGAAAGATGGAAATTCTGATTTCTTTCGAGTTCTTGGATACTGAAGGCCACATGACAGAATTTCCAGGTTCCTTTAGGGGAAAAATTAAGCTGGTGACACCAGGAAGTTTGGGGATGAACTCGGTGACACATAGTGTTTATCTGCTTGTGGTGCTTATCTGCTTGTGGGTGGAGGCCTTTGGGCCATTTCAGGTGTCAGTGACCATGGTTCCCACCACTGAGTGCTTTATAGGCATTGACATTTTGGTGGCTTGTGGCACAGAATGTCACTGCCACCAGAGGGGCTATGACCCCTAACAGCTAAGGATTTGAGCCATAACAGTGGGGCACATCCCCTCCCACCTACCACCATATCTTGCCACATTTTTACTGACTCATGGGCCATTGCCAACAGCCTAGCCATCTGGTCAGGGGAATGGCAGCAGTGATTGGACTATTAAAAGATTCCATGTGTGGGGACAAGGGCTATGGCAACAGCTTGCTGTTGGAAGGGACTCTATATGCCACTCATGTGGATGCTCTGACTACCACAGCTGCCCTTGAGAGGACTTATGTTTTTGGATACCCCATGGGACTTCACTCTGACCAAGGAAAATCCTCACTGCCCAAGCAACATGACAGTGGGCACACTCATGCAATACAGTGGGTTTTCCATGCACTCTGTCATCCACAGGCCAATGGAGCCATTGAATGATGGACCAGTCAACTCACAAAGCAACTGAATAAAGGACATCAGGACAGCCTGTTAGTGGGGTGGCACCTCAACCTGACTAGGGCAGTGTGGACACTAAGCACTGTTCTCCAATCAAGGGAAACACAGCACTGCACACATCTTGAAAAACGCTGAGCTTGATGTGGATAGAGGTGGACCAGGTGACTGCCTGATGAGGCTGCACCTGTGAAATTCCAATCTCAGTGTTCCCAACCATTGTCTTTTCTTTTTCCATTTAGAGTGCACATCCTGTAGGTGGCCGGTGGTTCAAGCTGCCAGAGCACCCGACAGGCCCCTCTGACTCTGATCTAGAGGTGATACGTCCCCCGGGTGCCTCTCTTCTATGAAATCCACAGGGATACAGGACAGGACCAAGGAGTATCAGGGTGCTAGGCTTAGTGGCACCAGGAACACCTGATCCTTCCATTCAGGTAGGTAACCTTATCAGACATGTCGAGTTTGTACAAGACAAACCTTCCCGGACTGGACGACTGAAGCCAAAAGGCCTGGGTCATGCAACAAGCGGAATGGGTACTCTCGGGACTGCAGCAGTCAGACTGGGACACTACACTCAGCTCAACCTCTATCACATAGGTAGGGAATACCCGAGGATGCAGGAAGTGTAAGGGGCAGGGCACTAACCTGTCAGTCTGCTTTTTCCACAAGGACGTGACTGCAGAGGCCTAGAAGCATAACGCGTTTGTTAGGCTCTCCCAAGCTGTGGCTACCATAGGAAAGTGCTGGATCTGTCATCCCAGACCCCATTATGTCACAGGCTACAGCAACCTTCTCGTCCTGCCAGTAGTAAACTCTACCAGTATTATAGTGGCACAGTGAATATCAACAGAACCTGAGCCCTGGCTTACTGAGTGAGGATCTAACATCTGCCACATGGGAGGGAGGTAGACTTAATTGGCCTAAGGTGGCAAAACATCATGACAACTAATAAGATCTTGGTGGGCTGGCACCTTTGACCTATTATGTTCTTACCTGGATCACTGGATCCTGGACTAGGTTGATGCTCCAGACAGACCTGATCAACCTGTTTGTGATGTAGTCCTCCTGGGCCTAGTAAAATGTATTCTGGCTATGGCTCAACAATGTTGTACTGACATTGTGTCTGTGAAGGTGTTACATCGATCTGATAAGACAAACTTCCGCCTCCAGATACTAGGAGGTTGGTGGGCATATGAAACGGACTAGCTTTGCTAAAGGGTATAATCTGGGTTAAGGGCATAGACTGCAGGACAGTTCTCCAGGTGGCCTTGGACCAATTTAGTTCTCTCTCCTTTCTCACTTGTGGTTCTCTAGGATAACTGTAGAATGTGCTGGGAATGTAGCATCCTGTGATAGAGAGAGACTAACCAGACCAGCCAGGGCCCTGTTCCAGTGTCTCCCAGAAATAGAATGTCCTTCATATATATATGTATATATATATATATATATTTTTTTTAATTTTAATTTTTATTTATTTATTTTTTTTTGAGAGGGAGTTTCACTCTTGTTGCCCAGGCTGGAGTGCAATGGCGCGATCTCAGCTCATGGCAACCTCTGCCTCCCCAGATCACGTGATTCTCCTGCCTCAGTCTCTTGAGTAGCTGGCATTACAGGCATGAGCCACCATGCCTGGCTAATTTTTTATTTTTTAGTAGAGACGGGGTTTCTCCACGTTGGTCAAGCTGGTCTCGAACTCCCGACTTCAGGTGATCTGCCTGCCTCGGCCTCCCAAAGTGTTGGGATTACAGGCGTGAGCCACCGCACCTGGCCGAATGTTCTTCATGTTTTAGCCCAGTGTGTCATGCCTCCCCACCTCTTCCCCCTGCCCCTGCCCCCTGCAATTAGGCTGTTGCATTGCCACAAAGAAATACCTGAGACTGGGTAATTTATATAGAAACGAGGTTAAATTGGCTCATGTTTCTGCAGGCTGTACAGGAAGCATAGTACCACCATCTGTTTGGCCTCTGAGGAGGCCCCAGGGAGCTTTTACTATTGGCAGAAGGAGAAGAGAGAGCAGGCACATCACATGGTGAGAACTGGACCAAGAGACTGTGTTGGAGGGTGCCACACACTTCTAAATAACCACATCTTCCTGGCACTCACTCACTATTGCAAAGACACCAAGCCATGAGAGATCCACTTCCATGACCCAAACACCTCCCATCAGGTCCCACCTCCAAAAATGGGGACAATTCAACATGAGATTTGGCAGGGACATATATTCAATCCATCCCTGGACCCCCAAATCTCATGTCCTTCTGACATTGCAAAACATAATCATGCCTTCCCAATCACCTACCAAAATTTTAACTTGTTCCAGCATTAAACTCAAAAGTCCAAAGTGTCACAGGAGACATGGCCCAGAAAAAGAACTAATCCCAGCTCCTTGGGAGGCCAAGGCGGGTGGATCACGAGGTCAGGTGATCCAGACCATCCTAGCTAACACGGTGAAACCCCGTCTCTACTAAAAATACAAAAAATTAGCGGGGCGTGGTGGCGGGTGCCTGTAGTCCCAGCTGCTCGGGAGGCTGAGGCAGGAGAATGGCTTGAACCGGGACGCGGAGGTTGCAGTGAGCCGAGATTGCACCACAGCACTCCAGCCTGAGTAACAGAGCAAGACTCTGTCTCAAAAACCAAAGAAATCTCCAGCAGCGGAAATGTATGTAGAACTCATTTTGGTCAGTACTTTTCCTTGTACAGGAAGAAACTGAGGTCGCCCGGTGCAACGCCCAACACAGGTTAAGACAAAGCCGAGACTCAAAACCAGACCCCAGCTTCCGGTCCCAGCCCATAGATTCTTCCATTTCCTTCGCCGGAAGTGATATACAGCCCCTGTTCTCCTTCGCGTCCGTTGACGGGACCCAGGTTGGGGAGGCGGAAGAATGGGCGGGACCATGGGCGGAAGCACCCCTCCTACCAGGACCCGGAAACAGATGGCCACCCCGAGCCGGCCTATCCGGAAACTGGCTCGAAGAAGACGGGGATTGGCCATCGCTTCCGGAAGTTGTGAGCTTTGTTTCGGAGCGGGAGCTCTTCCGAGACGCACTGGGGGCCGGATGGTGAGTTTTCCTTGCGCTCTAACGGGCAGGCTCGGGAGCGGGAGGGTCCGGGCAGTTTTAGTAGTGTCTTTGGGACAACGGCTGCGGTTGGTATTTCTCAAGCGGCAACGAGGCCAGCCCCTGGGAATGCAGCACGAGAATGATAGAGTCAGGCTGTCCCCTCAAGAAATAGTTTAGTGAGGAGACATGCAGCGGATAGGCGCAGGATTCTTCAGAGTTGTGATTGGGCCCAAAAAGGAGCTAGTCCTCAGACTAAAAAGAGCCGTAGTGCCGGGGTTCTGGGCGCTGTAGTAAATGGACTCCAAATGGAGTTGAAGGGAGGGAGGAGTGCGTCAGGCGGAGATGAAAGGAGAGAGGGAACTACCTGTCCGATAGGGCAGAATCGGGGAGAAAGGTTGGTGACTTGAGCTTAGAGAAGGCCATTGCGGCGGTAGCAGAAGAGGAGAGGCAGGGACCAGATCGTAGAGTGTGGAACACCGTGACACAAAGTTGGGGCTTTATCATAAGAGCAGCAGAATGACAAGATCTGATGTACATTTTGAAAGGATCACTGTAACTGCTGGTGACGACTGGATTATAGGAGGGCAGGAATTGTGAGAAACCACTCAGAAGGCTACTGCTGTAGATGAGCGATGTGACCTAGCGTATGGGAGAGAAGTGGACGAATCAAAAGTATATTTAGCAGGTGAAAATTCAGGACTTTACGGATTAGATATAGGATTTGAGTGACAGGTTGGGTCTCAACGATGATTCCAAGTTTCTGACCTGAGTGAGTAAATTACGCTAAACAAGAACAAACTATTTTGAAGTTTTCTAAGGGTTCTTCCCCCCACTCAGTGTTAAAAAGCACGTTTTTTTCCTTTCTTATTATGTGTACTCATGTTTTGTGTGCTTACTGTAGAAAATTCAGAACATACATAACAAAATATTTTCTTTTATATAAAGGACAATAAAAATCACCTCATAACCTCACTACCCAAGATGGTCATATTTTAGTGTTTCTTTCATGTATTTTAAAAAAATATGTGTATCTTTTTATATAATTGGGATCCTACTGATTATGTCTTTCTGTATCCATTTTTTCCACCTTAGCATGACTAATGATTGAACTGTGTGCCAGGATATCGTTCACAAATATATTTTTTTCTGTTTGTAACAGAAAAAGTCAAATTAATTCTAAATAAGAGATAACATTAACTTTTTGGTGTATTTTCTTTTTAATATTTGTTTAAAAGCCTTTTAAAAAACCCACATTTTGGCCAGTTTGTGTTTTGTTTTCCATTCAGATGTTTTTACTTACTTAATGTTATTTATTGCCGTTTTTACACACCGTCAAGACCACATGTTTTAATGGTTGTTAAATAACAACTAATCCCATCATTAGCTAGATAGGTTATTTGCAACTTTTTACTGTTAAAATAATGAGAGGAACATCTTATATAATTATTGGATTCCTAATGACTTCCATCAGAAAGAGTTCTAGAAATATAATCTGCCAGGTAAAAGGATAAAATGAGTCTCAAATTGCCCCACCAAAATATTTTATTAAGAATTTGATAGAAATTGTTTTAAAGAAATTTTTGCAATACATAGTTTTTCCATTCAAAGATATGGTCATGTCTTTCTGGTTATTCAAGTTGTCTTTTATGTTTCTTTTATGTCTTTATATATAATAACCTATCCTTTTCTTGTTAAGCTTATGTCCAAGAAAGGAGCGACATTGATTATTTAATAATTGTACCCTCTCTGCTTAATTTCCATGCGTGGAATGAATATCTTTGGGTCAAGTGGGATACTTTATCCTTTTTTTTTATTTTTATACTTTAAGTTCTAGGGTACATGTGCACAACGTGCAGGTTTGTTACATCTGTATACATGTGCCATGTTTGTATGCTGCACCCATTAACTCATCGTTTACATTAGGTATATCTCCTAATGCTATCCCTTCCCCCTATTCTTTTTTTTTTTTGAGACGGAGTTTCACTCTTGTTGCCCAGGCTGGGGTGCAATGGTATGATCTCGGCTCACTGCAACCTCTGCCTCCCAGGTTCAAGCGATTCTTCTGCCTCAGCCTCCTGAGTAGCTGGGATTACAGGCATGCGCCACCATGCCTGGCTAATTTTTTTGGCATTTTTAGTAGAGACGGGGTTTCTCCATGTTGGTCAGGCTGGTCTCGAACTCCCAACCTCAGGTGATCTGCTCGCCTCGGCCTCCCAGAGTGCTGAGATTACAGGCATGAGCCACTGCACCCAGCCTACTTTATTCTTTAAAATTATTTTCTTCCTTAATATTTATGTCTAGGCCTTCCTAAAATATAAATAAAATGATGAGATCAGGAAGTTAAAAAGACTAAGATAGAGTAAGACTTCATTAATACCGTAAGCAACCTCTGGTTTAAAAAATTCCTGACATTCTGCTCCTACTTGTCTGCTGGGGAAGCAGCCCTTCAACCATGCACCTGAGCCTGCCTCATCTGAACAAACAGCAACCAGCTGGGCCCCTTGGCGTTTCCCTGGGGATGACAACAGAACAACTCAGAAGGGTTAGGAAGACAACATCTCATGAGGATGCCAAATGGGCTTTGGCGATGGATTTTTCTAGTTTAACACTTTTATCAAGTTACTTTCAAAGTTTTTGAATATTTATTAAGAAATGAGTTCTGATGTTAACTTTTAAATGAAATCTTTTGGTCTTTTCATTTTGTGTGCAGTAGAATCCTGCTTATCTGTGAAATGCAGTTAACACATCAGCTGGACCTATTTCCCGAATGCAGGGTAACCCTTCTGTTATTTAAAGATGTAAAAAATGCGGGAGACTTGAGAAGAAAGGCCATGGAAGGCACCATCGATGGATCACTGATAAATCCTACAGTGGTAAATATAAATTTTAAGAATGAATGAGCCTGCTGGGTGCGGTGGCTCACGCCTGTAATGCCAGCACTTTAGGAGGCCGAGGCGGGTGGATCATCTGAGGTCAGGAGTTGAAGACCAGCCTGGCCAACATGGTGAAACCCTGTCTCAACTAAAAATACAAAAATTAGCTGGGCGTGGTGGCGGGCGCCTATAATCCCAGCTACTCGGGAGGCTGAGGCAGGAAAATCATTTGAACCCTGGAGGCAGAGGTTGCAGTGAGCCAAGATTGCGCCATTGCACTCCAGCCTGGGCGACGAGCAAAACTCTGTCTGGAAAAAAAAAATGGCCAGGCATGGTAGCTCACGCCTGTAATCCCAGCCCTTTGGGAGGCCGAGGCAGGCAGATCATGAGGTCAGGAGTTTGAGACCAGCCTGGCCAATATGGTGAAACCCTGTCTCTACTAAAAATACAAAAATTAGCTGAGCATGGTGGTGGGCACCTGTACTCAGGAGACTGAGGCAGGAGAATCGCTTGAGCCTGGGAGGCAGAGGTTGCAGTGAGCCGAGATTGTGCCACTGCACTCCAGCCTGGGCAACAGACCAAGAATCCGCCTCAAAAAAAAAAAAAAAAAAAAAGAATGAATGAGCCATACAGGGCATTTAAGTATACATTAATATTTGTGATGTTATAGGGTAGCCTAAAAATCTGTCACGGTTAGGGAAAAAATTCTTGTCCAAGTCAGATGCAGCCAACTTTGACTATAACAGTGAATAGAGGCAGAAGTGCCAGGTCCTGCCCTAGGAAATAGGAAAGGTTGTGGTCTGGGTCTAATATGGGAAATGCCTGGATCTCCAGCTTCTCATCTTTAAAATGGGGGTTCCTAACAAGACAGTCTGTAGAGGAGGAATAGTGTAGTGGTTAAGAGTACACACAGAGGCCAAGGTGGGTGGATTGCTTGAGGCCCGGAGTTTGAGACCAGCCTGGCCTACATAGTGAAACCGTGTCTCTACTAAAAATACAAAAAGTAGCTGGGTGTGGTGGTGTGTGCTGGTAGTCCCAGCTACTCGGGAGGCTGAGGCACAAGAATCATTTGAACCTGGGAGGCGGAGGTTACAGTGAATTGAGATTGAGCCACTGCATTCCAGCCTGGGCAATGGAGCGAGAGACTCTGTCTGTCTCCAAAAAAAAAAAAAAACAAAAAAACAGGGCACACGCAGTGCGATCATGTTACCGGGAATTAATCCCAGACCTACTACTTAGGCCTTTGAACAAGACATAACCAACCTTTATATAGTGCTTACTGCATTCCTAGCATTGTTCCAAGTGCTTTACGTATACTAACTTGCTTAATCTTCACAACAGCCTATGGAGTGAATACTGTTTCATCGGTCTCTAACAAATAAAATGCTAATGAACTTGCATAAGTTTCCTAGGTGATAGGTGACAGAGATGGGATTCAAACCCAGACATTCTTTGCCTCAATTTCCTCATCAATTACATACTACTACTACTGCTACTACTACTAATAATAGTGTCAATTTCATAGGGTAGTTTTGAGGATTAAAGAAAATATTACAAGTAAAATGTTTGCAATATGATCATGCCCATAATATTAGCCCTCAATTAATGTTATTTAAAAAAATTTTACTATTTGCATAAGTTCCTTGCAGCTTTAAAATTCTGTGATTTCCTGACTACCCAGGCCCTTGGGATAATAGTTGTTTTTTGTTTTTTTTTTTTTTGAGACAGTTTCACTCTTGTTGCCCAGGCTGGAGTGCAATGGCGCGATCTTGGCTCACGGCAACCTCTGCCTCCCGGGTTCAAGCAATTGTCCTGCCTCAGCCTCCTGAGTTGCTGGGATTACAGGTGCGTGCCACCACGCCTGACTAATTTTTGTATTTTTAGTAGAGAGGGTTTCGCCGTGTTGGCCAGGCTGGTCTTGAACCCTGACGTCAGGTGATCTACCCACCTTGGCCTCCCAAAGTGCTAGGATTACAGGTGTGAGCCACCGTGCCCAGCCGGGATAATAGTTTTGAAAATACAGACCGTAAGAATTGTGATGAAGTAAAACAGCTTGACACTGGAGTTAACCATGAGTTACCATGTGTTTTCAGGCACTGCAGATTCTCCATGTGTAATTAATTCTTTTTCCTTGCTTTGGTAGATTGTTGATCCATTTCAGATACTTGTGGCAGCAAACAAAGCAGTTCACCTCTACAAACTGGGAAAAATGAAGACAAGAACTCTATCTACTGAAATTATTTTCAACCTTTCCCCAAATAACAATGTAATGTGCACTTTCCTATTTCTGTTGACCGTGTCATAATAACATATGTGTTCCTCAGTGTTGGGTTGGAGGCTAAATTCCTGCAAGCCAGTGGTTAGTAATAAACCCAAATAATAGTGAAGAGAGCTCTGGACAGAGAGTTGAGGTTTAACCCTGCCTCTTACTAAGACAGTTTACATATGAGTAAACAAAAATTTAGCTAAATTAAGCGAGGTTAATTTTATCTGTTCTTACCATATAGGGTCAGGAAGACCCCTCAAGTATTTTTGCTTGAGAAGCTGACAGAAATCTAAATGATAAAACATTAGGCGTGGATATTTTGTGTGCTAGCCTGCATATCATTCTCTCTTCCCGTAAACTCCTTGAGGGTGGGATCCATGTCTTTTTCATATACCAGGAACTTGCTTGTACCTATAACAGTCCTTAACACAGCCTCACTCACACACCCAGTACATAGGTAGAGTTTGTGGTTTGAAATACTTATAGTAATGCTTTTTCAATGAAAGTTATCAAGCTAAAGACATCACACATGTAGCACATGAAAAAAATGACTGCAATTTTGCTGATGAAGTTTTAGTATTACTGCTGCTGTTAATAACAACCAGGTACTAATGTCATCTACAGGAAACCTGTAGCATAGGTTAAAATACAGATGATTGACAAGTTTATAAAATGCAGTTATCTCAGCATGGTAATAGAGATTCCCAGTACCTGGAATAAAATTTACTAATTATGGTTTCCTTGAGATCATTAGACATAATTCAGAAAACTCTTGAATTCAGTAAACATCTGTTGAACTTTTTCCCCGTTCCATTTACAGTTCTAGGGGCAGAAGAGGCAAATATGTTCCTGAGGAGAGGCAGATAAACAAGACAAGTTAAAATGCCCTAAGATAAATGATATAATGGGAAAATGAATTCAAATCTAGGGGTACAGCAATGAAGCCATTCATTTTGGAGGGAGGAGGGTGTGGTGGGGAGTGGCATCAGAACTGTGGACCCTGAAGCATGTGTTCAGCAGCCAAGCCATGAGGAGAAGGGACATGCGAGCAGAGGACAAAGCTTGAGCACAGGCAGAAGGGCATGAAATGTGACTGGATCCCCAGGCAGGCTGGACTGGCCAGAAGGCAGAAGCGCCTGGCTGGAGGGCCACTTGGCACCAGAGGGAGGAGGTGTTTTTGTGCAGCGCCAAGAGGCTGGGCTTGATTCCATAGGAACAAGGCGTACCTTTAAGCAGGGAGTGCTTTTGAGGAAGTGCCAATGGATGTTGGAAAGGAATCATTAAAGTGAAAAAGTAGGCAGTGAGAACTGTTAGGACATGAAAAATAAGAGCCTGACCAAGGAAGAAGGCAGATCAGGAAATGTTTCAGACGTAGGAAACAATGGTTAATGATCTTGTGTTTTTTTTTTCATTTTTTTTCTCTTAGATTTCAGAGGCTTTGAAAAAATTTGGTATCTCAGCAAATGACACTTCAATTCTAATTGTTTACATTGAAGAGGGAGAAAAACAAATAAATCAAGAATACCTAATATCTCAAGTAGAAGGTCATCAGGTTTCTCTGAAAAATCTTCCTGAAATAATGAATATTACAGAAGTCAAAAAGGTTTGCCAGTCCATATTTTTAGAAAGAGTGTGATAGATGAGCAATAATGCTGATGCCGTTTGCCTATTGATCACCAGAGCTCCTTGTTTTTTGAACTTTTGAGAAAGTTAATCTAATTTTAAAAATTACTTAAAAATTACAGATACAAAGAACTGGGAGGTGTGATGGTTTATGTAAAATATAATTACAAACTCAGCTGACATAACCATTCTCCACATTAAGAAAGAGAATACCTTTAAATATCAAACTTACATAGTATATTTAAAATGTAAAATAAATTTAGTATGCTTTTAAAATGGATAGAAATTTGGTTTTTATGTTCTTGAGAGTTACTCCCATAGCAGCAATTTAAAGGGGATACAAGTAATGAATTGCCCTCTACTTTGAATATTTTAATCACATTTGTTGTTTGTTATACCATGAACCCAATAATTGAATGAGGAATAATTTCACTTACACATGTTTGTATAATGACAATTAGTAGTGAATGACGATATCAGCAAGTCATAATTTGTCTTTCATTTTTACAGATATATAAACTCTCTTCACAAGAAGAAAGTATTGGGACATTATTGGATGCTATCATTTGTAGAATGTCAACAAAAGATGTTTTATGAAATGTCAGAAATATTAACAAAAATTCTCAGCATTAAAGAAAACATTGATTTTCCTTTCCTGACTATAAAACTAATTGTGCATTATAGAAAAGTTTAAATCACAGAATGGTATTAAAAAAAAAAAAAAAAGGCCAGGCACGGTGGCTCACGCCTGAAATCCCAGCAATTTGGGAGGCCAAGGCAGGTGGATCACCTGAGGTCAGGAGTTCAAGACCAGCCTGGCTAACATGGTGAAACCCCATCTCTACTAAAATACAAAAATTAGCTGGGCATGATGGCAGGTGCCTGTAATCCCAGCTATTCGGGAGGCTGAGACAGGAGAATCGCATGAACCTGGGAGGCACAGGTTGCAGTGAGCTGAGATCGTGCCATAGCACTCCAGCCTGGGCAGCTGAGCGAGACTCCGTCTCAAAAAAAAAAACCAAAAAAAAAAAAAACAAAAAAACCACTTGTAGTCCTACCTCGTTGTATTTTAAAAGATAATCAGTTACTATTACTTGTTATTGCCTTCTAGAGTTCTGTTTCTATTCAAATATATTTTATTTTTATATAATTAGAATAAAAATTGCAAACACTTATGGAATGCCTACAGTGTACTAGGTTCTTGCCTTAGTGATTTTTTTTTTTTTTTTTGTAGAGATGTGGTCTCACTATGTTGCCCAGATTGGTCTCAAAATCCTGGACTCAAGTGATGCTTCTGCTGCGCCTCCCAAAGCGCTGGAATTACAGGCATGAGCCACTGAGCCCAGCTGGTTATTGTTTCTGTTTTTAAATTTTTTGCCTTGGTGATTTTATATCCTCAGTTCACCTCCCTCTCCATACTTACCATGGCTACTCCAGCTCACCCTTCGCAAGCCTCTGGATCCTGGTTCTAAGTGTCTTTCACTTCTAGGAACTCATTTAGTTCTTGCAGCAACCTTATGAGGTAGATACTGTTATTACCCCCATTTTACACACAAGGCCCAGGGGCAGCTACTGTGCAGAGGCCTGGCGGCTCCAGCTGAGGGTGGTCACTCAGAGGGACACCTCGGCAGAGCTCCCACCCTTCTTCCTGGCAGAGGCCCAAGTGGAAGTGGGGGTGTTCCTCGTGAGAAGAAGAAAGGTTGTGCCAGGGGGACTCTGAGGGTGCACATGGAGCCTGGGCAAGGGGAGGCAACCAGGGCCACAGCAGAACTGGTGCCCCTGCTCCCAAGAACCCCCAACAACTGTACCCTTGCAGTGCCACTGTGAACCTGCCATTGCCCCTTGGCTTCCAGAGGGCAAAGAGCCATGGGGGAAGGGGAGTCAGAACACAACCCCAAGAGGTCAGACCCCAGCTGCTGAGGCAGGTCCGTGGCCCCAGCCTGGGTCCTGCCTCAGCACTCTTCTGAGCACTCTCACCTCATCCCTGACCCTGTCAGGTTCTTGGGAGGGCTCCGTCTTCCTCCTCCACATTCACATGCACCTTGTCCAACACCTGGCCCCCTGGCAGGATCCTCATTTCCCAGTCTCCCTTCTTCGGAGGTGCACTGGGCAAGTGGAGCCAGGCCCCTTGGGGTCCCCTGGAGTGGAAGGAGGTACAAAATGGGATGGGTAAAGTATAACTGCCACAGGCATTCACCCAGGAATGTCAGCAATGAAAGAGAACGAATTCCTCTCTCCAGGCAGTATGGAGTCCCAGGAAGACTCTAAGTTCTGCTACTGATGGATGAACTGGGTGCCTGTAGAGTGTGGAAGGCCTAGGCATGGGTTCTAAACTCCTTCTCAGCTGCCTGACCCCCAAAGTCCGGCCTCTGGCGGTGGGGAAATAGAATTACAAACAAAATCTATCCCAGCAAGCCTCTCTGCAGAGGTAGAAGAGGAAGAAAACACTTTCATCATTGAAGAGGCATTAACTCAGAGTGAGATGTGCATCACAGACAATGATCCGCTAAGATGCTGCAAAGACAGAAATCTCACGCTTATCTAGCCAGTGGGTCCAACCCATTGTTCACTGCACGCATTCTCAAGAAGAGTAATGCCTAGTCCTCAGATCAGTGGACTTCCCAGCACCTTTGGCCACACCCATTTATTGGAGATTCAACCTCAATTTACCTGACCACCTGCGTTTGCTAATTACCTTGTTACAAAGGAAAATAAACTCTTACCTTCGTGACAGGAGGTAGATTTACTACTCACAGCAGATGTTAGGCCCCCACCATCCCACAGAGACTGGCAGATAGGGCCCTGGCTGCTCTGATGATGACGTTTCAAAGACGGGCTCCCAGGTCCTTCAGGAACACAGTCCTGGGTTGCAAAGCTGGCAAGAGGCTTATTTAGTTGTCAAAAAGCATTGCATGCCCCTCAAAGGGGCAGAGGAAGATTTACAATGACAAGTTTTCCAAAGAAAACGCTCAGAGAGGACACCACTTCCCTTGTTTTGTTTTGTTTTGTTTTTTATTATTATACTTTAAGTTTCAGGGTACATGTGCACAATGTGCAGGTTAGTTACATGTGTATACATGTGCCATGCTGGGGTGCTGCACCCATTAACTCGTCATTTAGCATTAGGTATATCTCCTAATGCTATTAGTCCCCCCTCCCCCCACCCCACAGCAGTCCCCAGAGTGTGAGGTTCCCCTTCCTGTGTCCACGTGTTCTCATTGTTCAGTTCCCACCTATGAGTGAGAATATGCGGTGTTTGGTTTTTTGTTCTTGCGATAGTTTACTGAGAATGATCATTTCCAATTTCATCCATGTCCCTACAAAGGACATGAACTCATCATTTTTTATGGCTGCATAGTATTCCATGGTGTATATGCGCCACATTTTCTTAATCCAGTCTATCATTGTTGGACATTTGGGTTGGTTCCAAGTCTTTGCTATTGTGAATAGAGCCGCGATAAACATACGTGTGCATGTGTCTTTATAGCAGCATGATTTATAATCCTTTGGGTATATACCCAGTAATGGGATGGCTGGGTCAAATGGTATTTCTAGTTCTAGATCCCTGAGGAATCGCCACACTGACTTCCACAATGGTTGAACTAGTTTCCAGTCCCACCAACAGTGTAAAAGTGTTCCTATTTCTCCACATCCTCTCCAGCACTTGTTGTTTCCTGACTTTTTAATGATTGCCATTCTAACTGGTATGAGATGGTATCTCATTGTGGTTTTGATTAGCATTTCTCTGATGGCCAGTGATGGTGAGCATTTTTTCATGTTTTTTGGCTGCATAAATGTCTTCTTTTGAGAAATGTCTGTTCATGTCCTTTGCCCACTTTTTGATGGGGTTGTTTTTTTCTTGTAAATTTGTTTGAGTTCATTGTAGATTCTGGATATTAGCCCTTTGTCAGATGAGTAGGTTGCGAAAATTTTCTCCCATTTTGTAGGTTGCCTGTTCACTCTGATGGTAGTTTCTCTTGCTGTGCAGAAGCTCTTTAGTTTAATGAGATCCCATTTGTCAATTTTGGCTTTTGTTGCCATTGCTTTTGGTGTTTTAGACATGAAGTCCTTCCCATGCCTATGTCCTGAATGGTAATGCCTAGGTTTTCTTCTAGGGTTTTTATGGTTTTAGGTCTAACGTTTAAGTCTTTAATCCATCTTGAATTAATTTTTGTATAAGGTGTAAGGAAGGGATCCAGTTTCAGCTTTCTACATATGGGTAGCCAGTTTTCCCAGCACCATTTATTAAATAGGGAATCCTTTCCCCATTGCTTGTTTTTCTCAGGTTTGTCAAAGATCAGATAGTTGTAGATATGTGGCATTATTTCTGAGGGCTCTGTTCTGTTCCATTGATCTATATCTCTGTTTTGGTACCAGTACCATGCTGTTTTGGTTACTGTAGCCTGGTAGTATAGTTTGAAGTCAGGTAGCGTGATGCCTCCAGCTTTGTTCTTTTGGCTTAGGATTGACTTGGCGATGCGGGCTCTTTTTTGGTTCCATATGAACTTTAAAGTAGCTTTTCCAATTCTGTGAAGAAAGTCATTGGTAGCTTGATGGGGATGGCATTGAATCTATAAATTACCTTGGGCAGTATGGCCATTTTCACAATATTGATTCTTCCTACCCATGAGCATGGAATGTTCTTCCATTTGTTTGTATCCTCTTTTATTTCCTTGAGCAGTGGTTTGTAGTTCTCCTTGAAGAGGTCCTTCACATCCCTTGTAAGTTGGATTCCTAAGTATTTTATTCTCTTTGAAGCAATTGTGAATGGGAGTTCACTCATGATTTGGCCGTCTGTTATTGGTGTATAAGAATGCTTGTGATTTTTGCACGTTGATTTTGTATCCTGAGACTTTGCTGAAGTTGCTTATCAGCTTAAGGAGATTTTGGGCTGAGACAATGGGGTTTTCTAAATACACAATCATGTCATCTGCAAACAGGGACAATTTGACTTCCTCTTTTCCTAATTGAATACCCTTTATTTCCTTCTCCTGCCTAATTGCCCTGGCCAGAACTTCCAGCACTATGTTGAATAGGAGTGGTGAGAGAGGGCATCCCTGTCTTGTGCCAGTTTTCAAAGGGAGTGCTTCCAGTTTTTGCCCATTCAGTATGATATTGGCTGTGGGTTTGTCATAGATAGCTCTTATTATTTTGAGATACATCCCATCAATACCTAATTTATTGAGAGTTTTTAGCATGAAGTGTTGTTGAATTTTGTCAAAGGCCTTTTCTGCATCTATTGAGATAATCATGTGGTTTTTGTCTTTGGTTCTGTTTATATGCTGGATTACATTTATTGATTTGCGTATATTGAACCAGCCTTGCATCCCAGGGATGAAGCCCACTTGATCATGGTGGATAAGCTTTTTGATGTGCTGCTGGATTCGGTTTGCCAGTACTTTATTGAGGATTTTTGCATCAATGTTCATCAAGGATATTGGTCTAAAATTCTCTTTTTTTGTTGTGTCTCTGCCCGGCTTTGGTATCAGGATGATGCTGGCCTCATAAAATGAGTTAGGGAGGATTCCCTCTTTTTCTATTGATTGGAATAGTTTCAGAAGGAATGGTACCAGTTCCTCCTTGTACCTCTGGTAGAATTCGGCTGTGAATCTATCTGGTCCTGGACTCTTTTTGTTTGGTAAGCTATTGATTATTGCCACAATTTCAGAGCCTGTTATTGGTCTATTCAGAGATTCAACTTCTTCCTGGTTTAGTCTTGGGAGGGTGTATGTGTCGAGGAATTTATCCATTTCTTTTAGATTTTCTAGTTTATTTGCGTAGAGGTGTTTGTAGTATTCTCTGATGGTAGTTTGTATTTCTGTGGGATCGGTGGTGATATCCCCTTTATCATTTTTTATTGTGTCTATTTGATTCTTCTCTCTTTTCTTCTTTATTAGTCTTGCTAGCGGTCTATCAATTTTGTTGATCCTTTCAAAAAACCAGCTCCTGGATTCATTAATTTTTTGAAGGGTTTTTTGTGTCTCTATTTCCTTCAGTTCTGCTCTGATTTTAGTTATTTCTTGCCTTCTGCTAGCTTTTGAATGTGTTTGCTCTTGCTTCTCTAGTTCTTTTAATTGTGATGTTAGGGTGTCAATTTTGGATCTTTCCTGCTTTCTCTTGTGGGCATTTAGTGCTATAAATTTCCCTCTACATACTGCTTTGAATGTGTCCCAGAGATTCTGGTATGTTGTGTCTTTGTTCTCGTTGGTTTCAAAGAACATCTTTATTTCTGCCTTCCTTTCGTAATGTACCCAGTAGTCATTCAGGAGCAGGTTGTTCAGTTTCCATGTAGTTGAGCAGTTTTGAGTGAGTTTCTTAATCCTGAGTTCTAGTTTGATTGTGCTGTGGTCTGAGAGACAGTTTGTTATAATTTCTGTTCTTTTACATTTGCTGAGGAGAGCTTTACTTCCAACTATGTGGTCAATTTTGGAATAGGTGTGGTGTGGTGCTGAAAAAAATGTATATTCTGTTGATTTGGGGTGCAGAGTTCTGTAGATGTCTATTAGGTCCGCTTGGTGCAGAGCTGAGTTCAATTCCTGGGTATCCTTGTTAACTTTCTGTCTCGTTGATCTGTCTAATGTTGACAGTGGGGTGTTAAAGTCTCCCATTATTATTGTGTGGAAGTCTAAGTCACTCAGGACTTGCTTTATGAATCTGGGTGCTCCTGTATTGGGTGCATATATATTTAAGACAGTTAGCTCTTCTTGTTGAATTGATCCCTTTACCATTATGTAATGGCCTTTTTTGTCACTTTTGATCTTTGTTGGTTTAAAGTTTGTTTTATCAGAGACTAGGATTGCAACCCCTGCCTTTTCTTGTTTTCCATTTGCTTGGTAGATCTTCCTCCATCCTTTTATTTTGAGTCTATGTGTGTCTCTGCTCGTGAGATGGGTTTCCTGAATACAGCACACTGATGGGTCTTGACTCTTTATCCAATTTGCCAGTCTGTGTCTTTTAATTGGAGCATTTAGTCCATTTACATTTAAAGTTAATATTGTTATATGTGAATTTGATCCTGTCATTATGATGTTAGCTGGTTATTTTGCTCGTTAGTTGATGCAGTTACTTCCTAGCCTCAATGTTCTTTACAATTTGGCATGATTTTGCAATGGCTGGTACCGGTTGTTCCTTTCCATGTTTAGTGCTTCCTTCAGGAGCTCTTTTAGGGCAGGCCTGGTGGTGACAAAATCTTTCAGCATTTGCTTGTCTGTAAAGTATTTTATTTCTCCTTCACTTATGAAGCTTAGTTTGGCTGGATATGAAATTCTGGGTTGAAAATTCTTTTCTTTAAGAATGTTGAATATTGGCCCCCACTCTCTTCTGGCTTGTAGAGTTTTTGTCGAGAGATCAGCTGTTAGTCTGATGGGCTTCCCTTTGTGGGTAACCCGATCTTTCTGTCTGGCTGCCCGTAACATTTTTTCCTTCATTTCAACTTTGGTGAATCTGACAATTATGTGTCTTGGAGTTCCTCTTCTCGAGGAGTATCTTTGTGGCGTTCTTGTATTTCCTGAATCTGAATGTTGGCCTGCCTTGCTAGATTGGGGAAGTTCTCCTGGATAATATCTTGCAGAGTGTTTTCCAACTTGGTTCCGTTCTCCCCGTCACTTTCAGGTACACCAATCAGACGTAGATTTGGTCTTTTCACATAGTCCCATATTTCTTGGAGGCTTTGTTCATTTCTTTTTATTCTTTTTTCTCTAAACTTCCCTTCTCACTTCATTTCATTCATTTCATTTTCCATCACTGATACCCTTTCTTCCAGTTGATCAAATCGGCTCCTGAGGCTTCTGCATTCTACACATAGTTCTCGAGCCTTGGCTTTCAGCTCCATCAGCTCCTTTAAGCACTTCTCTGTATTGGTTATTCTAGTTATACATTCGTCTAAATTTTTTTCAAAGTTTTTAACTTCTTTGCCTTTGGTTTGAATTTCCTCCTGTAGCTCAGAGTAGTTTGATCGTCTGAAGCCTTCTTCTCTCAACTCGTCAAAGTCCTTCTCCTTCCAGCTTTGTTCCGTTGCTGGTGAGGAACTGCGTTCCTTTGGAGGAGGAGAGGCACTCTGCTTTTTAGAGTTTCCAGTTTTTCTGCTCTGTTTTTTCCCCATCTTTGTGGTTTTATCTACTTTTGGTCTTTGATGATGGTGATGTACAGATGGGTTTTTGGTGTGGTTGTCCTTTCTGTTTGTTAGTTTTCCTTCTAACAGACAGGACCTTCAGCTGCAGGTCTGTTGGAGTTTGCTAGAGGTCCACTCCAGACCCTGTTTCCCTGGGTATCAGCAGCAGTGGCTGCAGAATAGCGGATTTTCGTGAACCACAAATGCTGCTGTCTGATCGTTCCTCTGTAAGTTTTGTCTCAGAGGAGTACCCGGCCATGTGAGGTGTCAGTCAGTACCCCCTACTGGGGGGTGCCTCCCAGTTAGGCTGCTCGGGGGTCAGGGGTCAGGGACCCGACCCACTTGAGGAGGCAGTCTGCCCGTTCTCAGATCTCCAGCTGCGTGCTGGGAGAACCCCTGCTCTCTTCAAAGCTGTCAGACAGGGACATTTAAGTCTGCAGAGGTTACTGCTGTCTTTTTGTTTGTCTGTGCCCTGCCCCCAGAGGTGGAGCCTACAGAAGCAGGCAGGCCTCCTTGAGCTGTGGTGGGCTCCACCCAGTTTGAGCTTCCCGGCTGCTTTGTTTACCTAAGCAAGCCTGGGCAATGGTGGGCACCCCTCCCCCAGCCTCGCTGCCACCTTGCAGTTTGATCTCAGACTGCTGTGCTAGCAATCAGCGAGACTCTGTGGGCGTAGGACCCTCCGAGCCAGGTGCGGGATATAATCTCCTGGTGCGCCGTTTTTTAAGCCCATCGGAAAAGCGCAGTATTAGGGTGGGAGTGACCCGATTTTCCAGGTGCTGTCTGTCACCCCTTTCTTTGACTAGGAAAGGGAACTCCCTGATCCCTTGCGCTTCCCGAGTGAGGCAATGCGTCACCCTGCTTCAGCTCATGCACAGTGCACTGCACCCACTGTCCTGTGCCCACTGTCTGGCACTCCCTAGTGAGATGAACCTGGTACCTTAGATGGAAATGCAGAAATCACCCGTCTTCTGCGTCACTCACGCTGGGAGCTGTAGACCAGAGCTGTTCCTATTCGGCCATCTTGGCTGCCCTCCGCTTCCCTTGTTTTTAACAGGGAGAATTAAGCCTCTTCATTGTCTTTATTCTTTTTTTTTTTTTTCAATTGCCCTAACAGTTTCCGAGAGCAGTGTTCCGTGACTCCTCAGTTAAGCCACCAGTTCTTCCGAGCCCAACACAGGGTCTTTGGTGTGAAAATTTCTGTTTTTTCCTTATTGCTTTAAAAAAAAAAAAAAAAAACCAGCCACTCAGCTTGCTTAGTATTTTGCATAAACCTGCATTTCCCTTAAAGAAAACTTTAGCTCGAGGAAGTGAGGTGAGATGTGGTTAAGGCACCTCCCCAGGCTGGGCTGCTGGTTTGCCCCTGCCCCTCATATAGGCTTCCCTGGTCACCCCTCACTGTCGCAAAGTAAGACCTGAATATGAAAGCTTTCACATGCAGCCCAGATCCACGCACCTTTGGGTTTGCACTTCAGGCATTGTCTGCAGCAAGTGCTCAGTTCCAGGCCAGCTTCCAGAAGCTCCAAGACTCATCCCTTTATTCAGGAATTGAAAATGAACTGGAACTGAAGACTTTTAAACTGGAAGACATTTCAGAAATGATCAAATTTAATAGTTCCCAAGCTTTTGGAATCACAGAGACCTTTGAAGATCTGATGTAGAAAGTGAGCCCATAAATTTGCACACCATTGCGAGTTTAAGGAGCCGCTTTGGCGCCCACGAAGCAGCCCTTCATGTTTTAGTTGAGGAGGCTGCAGCTGAGCCCTGTCTCCTGAGGCAGAGGTCTGGGCTTTTAGTGGGAACAATAGCACCCACGTCACCGCAGGCAACAGAAGCTCACTGGCTACGCTAAGTCTGATTAAGAAAACTCCTGTGAGCGTTTTTGAGAGGCTGCATTTTAGAGGCTTTGTTTCAGGTTTTCTGTGTGGCCGATCAGTTCTATGTTCAAGGCTGGCTGCCAGGAGTGGACTTTAATTACTGGGCCTACACATCAGTGTCACAGAGAGGCAGACGAACTGCATCAATAGTCTCTTCCCTCTGTCCCACTGAGGGCAGTCTCAGTGACAGGAGCCTCTGTCCCTGACCCCAAACCGTTCTGTCCTCCACTCCGTGGGCTTCTGAAAGGAACAGAAAGGGCCAAGGCCAAACCCGCATCTGCACCTGGGGAAAGGAATCTCAGCAGAATCCGGGTGGCCCACAGTTCCCTTATCCTATGAGCCATGGGGTTCAGGGTTCAGGAAAACCCAACCAAGCGCCCTGCACCATGCTGTGAGGCTGCCCTAAGGCCTGCAATCCTGAGACCCCAACCAATGGAACAGGCCCCCTCTTAGTCAAGGGGACCCCAGGGAAACTTGAAAATGAATTCCTGGCCATGGTGGAAGGGGAGGTCAGAGACACCTCATGAAAGCCCTGCACCTTTGGAGTATAAAATAGGCATAGTTAGATTATTCAGACTGGACTCTGGACAATCAGTTACAGATTATGAACAAGACCTGAGGCCATGCAAGGCAAGAATTAACACACACCTAGAAACCACAGAGTCTCCTTCAATGGGTTGTAAAATCACTGAGGATACTGTGGCTGACTTTCCTACCTGACTCTGGGACAGCATCACGTGGCAGAGGCAGACCCTCTCTCTGAACTGAAGCATTCCTTTGTACCAACTTCACGTCTTTAGACAAAGCTGAACTCTCAACCAATTGCCAATCGGAAAATCTTTGAATCCACCTATGACCTATAACACCCCCGACTTCAAGATATCCCACCTTGTTAGGCCGAGTCAATGTACACCTTCCATGGATTGATTTATGATGTTACTCCAATTCCTGTCCCCTCAAATGTAGAAAACGACGGCCCCGGCACACGTTTTCAGGACCTCTTGAGATCCCCAGGCCATGGTCACTCATATTGGCTCAGAAGATACCTCTTACAGATCATTTAAGAGTGTGGTGTTTATGTTAACAAGCCCAACCACAGGCCTTGACATACCGTTTGCTCAGCTTGGGAATTCCCAGACCAGCTACAGGCCCCCGCCTTCTCCTCCCAACCAGCACACTCTTTGTCCCCATCCACCATCAGGTCCACCTGTGCTCACCTGGGTGGGCCTCTGCCGGCTGCCGATCTGCACCTGTTTCCCACCCCTCCTGACTTCAGAGTGCCCCCTCTGTGGGCAGTGCTCACTGTCACTCAGCCCCTCAGCCCCTGAGCTGCCTGGGGTTCTCCATCTCTATAGGGTGCTGGTATCCTCAGGCCAGGACTCCTTTAGTATAACCTGGCTCCTGCTATGAAATGTACAGTACCCAGAAAGTGTGACTGAGTCCCGATGTAAACCTTCCCTGTCACCTGGAATGCAGGGCATAGCCCTCACCTTTCTGCTGGTGGTGAGCAAGGAAGCAGAGAGCTTCAACTGGGTTGGCAAACACCCGATGTCCTATGCAGTGCCAGTCTTGGGAGGAAGCTGACGCCATGCACAGAATGGCAGAAAAACACCAGGTGAAACCCACTTTCAGGTCACCCTGTCTGTCTTCCTAGAGTTGGTGGTTTTTTGAGCCATTAGATCACCTCTATTACTTAAGGCAATTTTAGGTGGCTTTTTGATACCTGCAATGTAAAACTCCTGACTGTCAAGTTCAGTCTCCTAACAAAGTTATTCTGGATGTGACGTCTCCACCATTGTCCTGTTCCTGGAGCCCCATCAGGTGTGTCCTCCTGGGTGGCAGCCACGCCTCCGACATCTCGTGCCTTCATGCCAAGCCCAGGCCCAGCACACTGCAGATTCTCAGCCTGCTGGGCTCCCTTGCTCCAGGCTCATTCCCTGTGACCACACGGGGGAATACACTGGGGAATGCACTCCCTATTGTGTTACAGCCCAGCTCTTTGACCCTAGGGTTTATGATTATCAAAAATTAAGGAGCCAAGCAATGAGGGGGCAGCCAGCCTGCTTTCCAGGGATGGACGGGTCCTGGACACTATCTCCTGGATGCCAATGAGTGGCTGAGAGCTGAAGCTCCATGGACGCTCAAGGCTCTTGTGGTGACAGGTGAGGGGACTGGGTGGAAGGACAGTGCTCTGAGCATGCACCTTCCTTGGGATCTGGAGGCTGGGCTGTTTTTTGTGCTTGGCTCTTATGCCCCGTCAGCAACCTAAACACTTGTTATCAAGGGGGAAGGAGTCTTTGCTGAAACTTGTGCTTGGACACAGGATTT
Source organism: Homo sapiens (assembly GCF_000001405.40). Taxonomy (NCBI): domain Eukaryota; kingdom Metazoa; phylum Chordata; class Mammalia; order Primates; family Hominidae; genus Homo; species Homo sapiens. Next base: position 387,725 of record NW_025791766.1, on the reverse strand, counting down.
CTGTGATGTATGGTCCCTGGAGAAGGACTAAAGTGTTGGATATGTGGCCTGCCTGCGGTAGGTGCCCCCTCAATGCACCAAGAAGCTGAGAGAGCCAGGAAAAGGGAACAGAGGGAGGAGGGGTGGGTAGTTCATCTATCAAGGCTTTATAAAAGTTATTTCATTCAATCTTCAAAACAACTCTAGAAGGCAGGTTTTCTTCTCCCCTGTTCTATAGATGAAGAAGTGGAGGCTCAGAGAGGTTAAGTGACATGCCCAAGGTCACACAGCTAGAAAGGCATGGAGCCAGATTCCAATGCAGGTCTTTCTCATGCTACCTTCTCCCAGTGGCAGAGGCCTGCTTCCTCATGGGCAAACGCGGAAAGACACACCCTTAAGCAGGTCTCCCTGTTCCTGCAAGGCTGGAAGCCATGCAGGCACTCAGATGGTTTCCTCTCTCTTCCCCAGGCCTGGCGTAAAGGCGTGCAGGGAGGCCTAGCTCTGTCTCCCAGACTTAGAGATTTCCCCAAGAAATGTGTGGTTCAAACCAGGGACGCCAAGGAGTTCAAACCAGGAGACGCCAGGGCCACAAGTCTTGGGCATGTGGCCTCCCTAGAGGCATGTTTTCCTTCTTCGATCTAGACTCCATATTTTCCACAGGAACAAACCAGGAAATTCCTGCAGGAAATAGTTTTTAGAAGGAAAACAGATTTTTCACTTTTTTACAGCCCCACCCAGCTTTCATCAAGGACATGCATGTAATACAGGCTCTCAGGGGTCTCAGCTGTCAGTGGCCACAGGGTGCCCTTGAGTCTGGTTTCACTGCAGGGATGACTGTGGAACTGCAGTGCTGGATACTTTGAAAACCTGACAAGGTGGTGGCTGGGGGTAGGTGAGTCCACACAGTGTCACTTGGAAACAAAGAATCTTAGCATTGTAGGTGTTAAAAGAAAAACTTTAGCCAAATTAAATTTAAAAGACTTTGAGCAAAAAATGATTCGTGAATCAGGCGGCCTCCTGAGCCAGAATAGGCTCAGAGACTCCAGTGCACCCATGTGGTGGAAGATGATTTATGGACACAAAATGATAAGCAGTGTATGGAAGGTGGAAGTAAGCCACAGAAACAGCCGGATTGGTTCCAGCTCGACGTTTGCCTTATTTGAACATGGTTTGAACACTGGGCCACCTTTGATTGGTCAAAACATGGTGAGTGGCAAAGAGTAGGCTATAGTCCATTTACAAGCCCATTTAGGTTACAGTTTGTGGAGTACAGAGAACCCTTTAGGACGAATTTAAAATATGTAAGGAAGCAGTAGGCTAAACTTACTTAACACAAGGAACTTGAAATTCACTAGTTTCTCTGCCACAAAATCTGGAAGGAGAAACTGACCTTCACGGGAATTCTCCTTGTTCCTTTTTAACTTTTGTCCCCAGGAAACAAAGAGCACTTTCACTTCAAGTTTTTCTTCTGACCAAGAAGCAGTCACATCACTGTCCTCTTCTAGTTTAGCCTCACTGGAACTTGGAGTCTGGGAAGTTATCATGATATTGTGTGTTTTTTGGCACTGTTCACAGTCTCCAAGTTACCCGAGGACATCTCTGGGAGCAGCCTTGAGGCTGAGTGGGCAGGTTTATTCAAGTAAGGAAGGGAACCCTTTTTAATGTTTCACACACAGAATGCCTTTGTGTGGGGTGAGGGATGGGAGGAGAAGGAGAGAAAGAGAAGGAAGGAGGGGGAGAGGGAGGAAGAAAAGTTTTTTATTTCTAGGTCAGTTTAGACATTAGCGGGAAAGAAGAACTAATATGGGCTCAAAGGGTAAAGGATTTCGATTTAGATGCCAAGTGGGAAAGACAAACCCCAAGTCCTGCCGGCAGTCACCCCGGTAAGGAAGTGGTGGACAGAAGTAAAGACAGGACCCAAGAGGAGAAGGCAATCAAGAGGGAGGTTTACTTGCGTTTGATAAAATTTAAAGTGTGTAGAAAGGCATCATTGGAAAAGCTTCCCTTCCACTCCTGTTCTCCATTCACTCTGTTCACAACCCTACAGGATTTCAGAGAATTGTTTTACATTCAAGCAATTCTCTTCCCTCCTTTATTTGTTAAAAAAACGCAAGTTGTAGTATGATACACACTGCTCTGCACTTTTGATTTTTTTTTAAATTATGTGTCTTGGAGATCTTTCCATACTGGTATAGACAGACCTTCCTCATTCTATGTAGGACTTCATTATCTGGATATACAGTAATTTATTTAACAGTTTGTCTACTGATGGACAGATAAACTGTTTTAATTTTCTGCTATAACAAACTGCTTCAGTCGTTAATTTTGTACACTATTTTGCACATATGCAAGTATCTATAGCTTAAATTCCACATGTGCACAGTATATCATAAATTCCAAAAGTAAAAATGCTGGGTGAGCTGGGTGCAGTGGCTCACACCTGTAATCCCAGCACTTTGGGAGGCCGAGGCAGGCAGATCACTTGAGCTCAGGAGTTCGAGACTAGCCTGTGCAATATGGTGAAACCTCGTCTCTACCAAAAAATACAAAAATTAGCCGGGTGGTGGCACATGCCTGTACTCCCAGCTACTCAGGAGGCTGAGGTGGGAGGATCACTTGAGCCTGGGAGACGGAGGCTGCAGTGAGCTAAGATCATGCCACTGCACTCCAGCCTTGGTGACAGAGTGAGACCCTGTTTCAAAAATAAAAATAAAATTCTGGGCGAAAGTAATTTAGATAGGAACTGTTAAATTACCTTTCACAATGAACCAACTTCTACTCCCACAAGAATATATAAGGGACTCTATTTCCCTACACTCTTGCCATCAAATTTGAATTTTTGATAATCTGGTGAAAAAAGGCAGTTGGATACAGTTTTAATCTTCATTTGAGAGAGGTTGCGTATCTTACATATTTAAGAGCCATTTGTATTTCAATGGAAAAGTTTGAATTTAAGTAATTGTTTTGCATGTATGCTCTTATTTAATTTGTGCTTGTTGCAAAGTGCAGACTTTGAGCACAAGAAACTACTGGTAGACGATGAAATAGAGCAAATCACATGTTTTCCTACCTGGAAAAAGAAAAGAAACCTTGGTATCATTACTGCAACCAATGTCAGTTACCCACAGGATAAGCAAGCCTACAAGTCTCCAGGAGCCCTTTTTAATCCAATTCAAACTGTTCAGATGTAGTTGGGGGAAGCCTGAGACAATGTGAACATGCTGCCATGTATCTGTAATTGTTGTAGTTGGATAGGACCTGAGCTCTTGCAAGATGATAAGACAAAAAAATCCTGGCTGTATTCGTGGGGCTTGGAACAACTCTGATGGGGATGTTAATTTTTCATATGATAGAGTCAATAGATACTGTTTCGTGTCTGAGAGTGATAGATTGAGAAAGTGGTTGAAGCATATCAGTTAATTAGATTACATGGCTACTAAGTTATCAGAAAAACAGCTCAAAGAAGCATACATTATGGCTGGGCGCGGTGGCTCACACCTGTAATCCCAGCACTTTGGGAGGCTGAGGCAGGCAGATCATGAGGTCAGGAGTTCGAGACCAGCCTGACCAACATGGTGAAACCCCATCTCTACTAAAAATACAAAAATTAGCCAGGCATGGTGGCGGGCACCTGTAATCCCAGCTGCTCAGGAGGCTGAGGCAAGAGAATCGCTTGAACCTGGGAGGTGGAGGTTGCAGTGAGTCAAGATCGTGCCACTGCACTCCAGCCTGGGTGACAGAGCGAGACTCAGTCTCCAAAAAAAAAAAAAAAAAAAGAAAAGAAAAAAAGAAACATATATTACATAGTAATAAAAAAAGATTGGAAATGGCAATAAATCTGTAAAAATCATAAGATATCCTGGATAGCCAAAACAATTTTGAAAGAGAACAACAATGTTGGAGGACTCACACTACAACAATGTTGGAGGACTCACACTTCCTGATTCTAAAACATATTACTGGCTGGGCACAGCATCTTTCAGACGTGTAATCTCAGGACTTCTGGAGACCCAGGCTGGAGGATCACTTGAGCCCAGGAGTTTGATACCAGCCTGGGTAACATAGTGAGATCCCCATCTCCACCAAAAAAAAAAAAAACAAAAAAAACAAAAATAAAAAACAAAAACAGGATTAAAATATGAACCAGTAATTTCGCTCCTAGGTATACATTGAAAGAATTGATAATAGGTATTCAAATAACTGCTTGTATGTGAATGTTCACAGCAGCATCATTCACAATAACCAAAAGATAGAAACAACCTTAATGTCCATCAATGAATGAATGGATAAACAAAGTGCGGTATAAACATACATGGAATTTTGAGCCCTAAAAAGGAATGAAATACTGATGCATGATGCAACACGAATGAATTCTGAAAACATTAACTGAAAGAAGCCACACATAAAAGGTCAGATATTGTACAATTCCATTTATATGAAACATCCACGATAAATAAATCCATAGAGACAGAAAGCAGATTAGGTTGCCAGGGATTGGGGAGAGAGGGAAATAAGGGGGAACCACTTAATAAACAAGGAATTTCCTTTTGCAGTGATAAAAATGATTCGGAACCAGAAAGGGGTGGTCGTTGCACAACATTGTGAATGTACTAAATGCCACTGAATTGTGCACATTAATTGGATTAATTGAAATAATAAAACCGGACGCGGGTCTTACCTTTAGGAGCTCACAATCACACTTGAGTCCCTGAGTCCCTTTAGACTTCCAAGATTCAGTTTCACTGTCTGAAAGCAGGGCCAAGTGCCTAGAATGTGCAAAGACCTTCAGAGTTTATCTTTTATGCAGAGAATCCCCCACAATTCCTCTTTTCAGAGGTAACTGCTACCAACATTTGGTGGAACCACTCAGACTTTTCTCTCTGCATGCTTGTTTGTGGATATCATTTTTCAATACCATTTTTCCAAAAATAAATCCAAACATATTGTTTTATAATCTTTTCTTGCTTGTTGCTATAGTTGGGCAATGTTTTTCATGTCAGTAAACCCTCATCAGCATTGGTCATGGCTGTGAGGTACTGTGCTACAGAAATAGAGCAGGATTTATTCAGCCAGTCCCCTCTTGTTGCACTTTAGGTTGCTTCTGTGTCAATAAACTTTACAGTGATAAACATCCTTATACAAACATCTTTGCACATTTGACCAGTTACTTTCTTGAGCTCTAACCCTAGAAGTTGAATTTGGATCAAGTCTTTTCAAAGGATTTTGAGGTCGAGCAGGGTGGCTCACTCCTGTAATCTCAGTGTGTGGGAAGACTGCTTAAGCCCAAGGATTAGGGACCAGCCTGGTCAATATAGCAAGACCCCGTCTCTAAAAAAAACCTTTTTTTTAATTAGCCAGTTGTGGTGGTGGGTGCCTGTAGTCCCAGCTGCTTGGGAGGACAAGGGCAGAGGATCACTTGAACCTGTAAGTTTGAGGTTACAGTGAGTTATGACCTTGCCACTGCACTCTGGCCTGAGCAATGGGGTGAGACTCTATTTTGATTTAAAAAAAGGATTTTGACATGCTGTGTAATGATTCTCCAGCAAGGATCTCCCATTTCAGTATTCCATCAAAAGTGTGTGTGTCTGCACATTTCTTTGTGCTTGTCCTACATTAGCTCATACCATTCTTTTAATTCTTTACCATAATGATAGGTAAAACCTAGATAGTATTTTGATTTTTATTTGATTTCTAGTGAGTTTTTGTATATTCTTTTTTGTACACTTTTAAAATATATTCATAAACCATATTTGCTTCTTCTTTAAAAATTCTCCATTCTTATCCAGAGTCCATTCTATCCATTTGGCATTTTTTTCCTATTAATTATTAGGAAGGAAACATGAACTTTTCTGTTTTGAGGAAAGCTTCCATTTGAGGAACACTCAAAATGAAAGCTTGAAAAAGAACCATCAAAGAGGGAAAGACAGACCAGGAGAGAAGGGGGTATGAAATGAAGAGCCATGTGTTACAGCAGTTGGGTGGCTGCTGGACCCAGAAACCTCCTCAGTTGACATTATTTGCCTGACTCTTAGTTGCTCTGGTAGGAGCCAGTCTCTTGCACCTCTCTGCTCTGATCTTATTTCCCTTACATCTAAGCTCTTGGACTGACTCCAGTGCCTTAGTCCATTCGGGCTGCTGTAACACAATTACCATAAACTGGTCAACACTTTACATTTAGCTTGTAAACAGAAATTTATTTCTCACAGCTCTGGAGGCTGGGAATCCAAGATTAAAGTGCCAGTAGATTTATGTCTGGTGAGGACCTGTTCCTCATAGATGGTACCTTCTGTGTATCCTCACATGGCAGAAGGGGCAAACAAGCTCCCTTGGGCCTTTCTGTAAGGGCACTGATCCCATATGTGAAGACTTCATCCTCACGACCTAATCACCTCCCAAGACCCCACCTCTGAATACCATCACCTTGGGGATGAGGTTTCAACATAGGAGTTTTGGGGGGACATATTCAGTCCATAGCACCCAGGTACTGCAAGCAGCTGTATGAATGGAGGAACTCCCTCAGCATTCAGCATGTTTGAGGACTATAAAGCATTCCTGGTACTTGGCAGTTAGGAGGCCCCTGATGATCTTACCAGGGGTGGTTTTAGAGGGTCCGTGGAGGCAGCAGCCAGCAGTGAGGAGTGGAAATGAGGTAGCTCCATGTGGAGGTCAGCCTGCTCTTCTGGGCTGTGAGTGAGAGCACCATTCGGAGGTAATGGAGGTGAGAGAGCTGCACTGGCCATCTTTGGAGTGGGGCCCGGGGACAGTGTGAGTGAGTCTTCCCTCCAATTAGCAACTGCCTTCCTGTGCGTGTCCGAGTGCAAGGGGTGCTTTCTATGGGGTATAGAAGAATCCTGGGTAATAGATAAGGATGGAGTTCAGATGCCGTAGGGTGATACTGAGCCTGGAAGCCTGTAAGTTTCATCACAGAACTGGCTCCTCATTGGCTTTCTTCTTCTCCCCCAGCTCCACCCTGTCAGATTCTGTCCTTACTGAACAGAAGAGGCAACTACTGGACAACGGCTTATCATTTCTCTCCCCCTCAAAGAACAATGCCTCTTCTCTGACCCTCACTCTTAGTTGGTAATATCCTTTCCTAGTTCATTGTTAAAAACCAAGACACAACAGAAGAGGCAATGGAGAGAACTTCTGCCAAGCCCAGCACATAACACACTGTCAGTCCCTGTTCACATTCCTGCCTGCCCCTTTTGCTTGACTGTCTCATACGGGCCAGCCCCTCCCAACCAGTCAAGAGCACCGTCCCAAAGGTATCCCCACCCCTATACCGTCACTATTTGGCTTGCCTCTGGATCTCTTCAGCAAACAATTATTTCACCTACATCCCAGGAAGCAAAACCTTATTTTACTTTAACTCTTATTTTAGGTTCAGGGGTACAGGTGCAGGTTTGTTATATTGGTGAATTCATGTCATGGGGGTTTATGGTACAGATTATTTCATTACCCAGGTACTAAGACTAGTACTCAAAATTATTTTTCTGCTCCTCTCCCTCCTCCCACTCTCCACCCTGGGGAAGGCCCCAGTGTCTGTTGTTTCCTTCTTTGTGTTCATAAGTTCTCATCATTTAGCTCCCACTTATGAGTGAGAACACATGGTGTTTGATTTTTTTTTTTCCTTTTTTTGAGGCTGAGTTTCCCTTTTGTTGCCCAGGCTGGAGTGCAATGGCGTGATCTCAGCTCACCGCAGCTTCTGCCTCCTGGGTTCAAGTGATTCTCCTGCCTCAGCCTCCAAAGTAGCTGGGATTACAGGCATTCACCACCAAACCTGGCTAATTTTTTTAATTTTTAGTAGAGTCGGGGTTTCTCCATGTTGGTCAGGCTGGTCGCAAACTCCCGACCCCAGGTGATCCACCCACTTCGGCCTCCCAAAGTGCTGGGATTACAGGCGTGAGCCACCGCACCCAGCCTGGTTTTCTGTTCCCGTGTTAGTTTGGTAAAGATAAGGGCCTCCAGCTCCATCCATGTTCCTGCAAAATACATGATCTTGTTCTTTTTAATGGGTGCATAGTATTCCACGGTGTATATGTACCACCTTTTCTTTATCCAATCTGTCATTAATGGGCATTTAGGTTGACTGCATGTCTTTGCTATTGTGAATACTGCTGCAATGAACATTCACATGCATCTCTATGGTAGAACGATTTCTATTTCTCTGGATATATACCTAGTAATAGGATTGCTGAGTCAAACGGCAGTTCTGTAACAAATCTTTTTGACTGCACCCTCCTCTGCAGCTGCCAGGCATCTCCCTGTTTCACTCTGTGGCAAAACTGCTCCATGGTGTCCTCTGCACTCAGCTCCAGTTCCTCTCCTGTGAAACCTTCCCCTGTCAGGAGGTCTTTGGGGACCACTGAACCAACGCTGCTCCTGTCAAGGTCATCAGTCATCCCCATGTTGCTGCATCCTGTGGTCAATATCAGTCACTTCCCAGGCCCCATCTCACTTGACCCATCACAGAAGCCTTCGACTCTGTTGATATTTGTACCATGAACTTTATTCCACAAATAATAAAGAAAGGTTTTGAAAACCAGATCGTGTCATCAGTTTTTAAAATTATGTTATAATGGATACATACAAAAGAAACTGTGGAATGCATATATTAATATTCAGGTTAGATACAAATGTGCCCTTCCCACCCTGTTGAGTCTTACACATGTGGGGATATTATTCCCTTGCACAAATTAGGAGAGGGGGGTCAGAGAGGTTAAGACACCTGCAGGAGGCAGAGCTAGGATTTGAACCCAACTCTGACTCTAAAATCTGTATTTCATCCAGTAGGCAGCACTGCCCTCAAGGAAGATCCAGGTTTTTTGGAGCCTGAGGTAAATACATTTCAGAGCCTGTTTGCAAAATATAAATTGTAAAACCACAGTAGGTTTTTTTTTTTTTGTAAGGTGCTGGTGCAGGGGAAAGAGGAACTTTGAAGCTTAAGATTTGTTAGCTTCCCAATAAAACGTGTCTCTTCTCTGTTCCTGCCCTACTGGGAATACCCAAACTGGCTGTCTGTTGTTTACTCACTCAACACGCACTTACCGAGCACCTAATATCTGTCAGGCTTGTTCTGGGCACTTAACATACATGAGTGAACCGAAGAGCCAAAGATCCCTGCTTGCAGAGCCTACTAAATACAAATCAACAACAGATGCATATCCTTAGCATTTAGAGCAGGTTAGAGGTGATAAGAAAACTTAGAGCCAGCTATGGGGATAGGGAATGGCCAGGTAGGCTAGGGGTGAAGTGCACTGTGAAATAGGGTGTTCTGGGTAGGACTGGCTGAGAGGAAGGCCTGGGATCAGGGTGTGGTAGAAACCTAGTCACCCTTGAGGCTGCCGGGAAGGTACCCTGCTGATTGGTTATGAGGCACTTATGGCCTTGATCAGCAGATTGGCCTAAAGTACCTAGGGCTGAGTGGTCCGGGGCAAAAGATCGGCCCAAGGCGAAGCAGCCTTGTCTGGTGATCCCAACAGCAGGAACACACCTGTGTGTGCCACCAGCCTTGGCCCAACTTCCAGCGGCAGCAAGAGCTGTGGAGCCCCAGGTCGGCTGCCTGAGGCCAGTTATGCACAAGCGGGGTCCCCCGCCCCAGCTCTCCTGGTGGACAATGACAGGATATGAGAAGTTGGCAATGATGCTGTTCCCTAGGGAGAAGAGCTGAGGGGTGGCAAGAAGGGCCTAACCCAGCAATGGGGTCTGGGTGGGGGACACGTATCTGGAGCCCAGATGCAGCCAGCCAGGGGTGGGGGAGCACAGGCTCAGGGGTGGCTCCTGTGCAGGGACCTGACTGATGGCTTCAGGTGTGGGTGGTCACTCAGAGGGACGCCTCGGCAGAACTCGGGCCCTTCTTCTTGGTGGAGGCCCAGTTGGGGGAGGGGTGCACCAGCGGGACAGAGAAGGGTCTTTCCAGGGGGACCAGGGGGCACATGTGGAGCCTGGGCAGACGGGGTGGCCAGGGTGGGACCCATACCCCTGCTCCACAGGAACCCCCAGCTCCCCAGGGCACCCCATCCCCCCCACCCCCGCCCACAGTGAACCTGCCACTGTGGCCTCCAGTGGGCCTCCAGTGGGCCAAGAGCCTGCACGTGGGAGGGGGAGTCAGAAATGCAACTTCAAGGAGTCAGCCCCAGTTGCCTGGGCAGGTTGGCGGCCCCAGCCCAGAGCCATGGCTTCCTGGGCACCCCCACCCCATCCCTGTCCCTGTCCGGTTCCCAGGAGAGGGCTCCATCTCCTTCCTCCTAGTTCACATTCACCTTGACCAACACCTGGCACCCTGGTGGGACCCCCAACCCCAGTCTCCCTTGGGGGTGCTCTGGACTAGCAGGGCCAGGGCTCTTGGGGCCCCCTGAGGTGGAGAGGGGGCACAGGGTGGGACTAGGGTATGGGTAACCGCCACACACAGTCATCCAGGAGTGTCAGCAATGAAAGAAAATGAGTTCCTCTTTCCAGACAGTATGGGGTCTTCCAGATAGTGTTTCTGCTACTGCTGAACTGAGGGAACTGAGTGCATGAGCCTTGGGGAAGGCCTAGGCATGGGTTCTAAACTCCTTCCCAGCTGCCTGACCCCCAGAGCCCATCCTCTGGTCGTGGAGAAATGGAATTACAAATAAAATCTTCTCCCATCCCAGCAAGCCTCTCTGCAGAGGAAGAAGAGAAAGAAAAACACTTTTATCCTTGAAAAAGGATTAACCCAGAGTGAGATGCGCATCACGGGCAATGATCCGCTAAGAAGCTGCAAAGACAGACAGAAATCTCACCGCTAATCTAGCCAGTGGGTCCAAACCATTGCACACGTTCTCAAGAGAAGCCATGCCTAGTCCTCAGGTCAGGGGGCCTGCACAGCACTTTTGGTCACACCGAGTTTACAGAGATTCAACCTCAATTCACTCGACAACCTGCGTCTGCTATTTGACTTCATACAAAGGAAAAACAACCCTTATCTTTATGATAGGAGGTAGATTTATCACACAGGGCAAAAGTTAGGTTCCTGCCCTCCCATGGAGACTGGGAGATAGGGACCTGGCTGCTCTGATGATAACGTTTCAAAGATTGGGATCCCAGGTCCTTCAGGAACACAGTCCTGGGTTGCAAAGCTGGCAAGAGGCTTATTTAGCTGTCAAAAAGCTTTGCATGCCCCTCAAAGGGGCAGAGGAAGGATTTAAAATGACAAGTTTTCCAAACAAAATGCTCTAAGAAAAGGGACAGAGGATACCTCTTCCTTTAACAAGAAGAATTAAGCCTCTTCATTGTTTTTCGTTTTTTTTTTTTTTTCCCTAACATTGTTTCTGAGAGCATTGCCCCATGACTCCTGAGATGTGCCACCAGTTCTGCCGAGCCTAACACAGGGTCTTTGGAGTGAAAAGTTCTGTTTTTCCTTATTGCTTAAAAAATTAAAATCTCAGCTTGTTAGTATTTTGTATAAATCTGCACGTTCCCTTCAAGAAAACCTTATCTCTGAGGAAGTGAGGTGAGAGGTGGTTAAGGCAGCTCCCAGGCTGCCTTGGTTTGCCCCCGCCCCTCATATAGGCTTCCCTGGTCACCCCTCACTGTCGCAAAGTAAGACCTGAATATGAAAGCTTTCACATGCAGCCCAGATCTACGCACCTTTGGGTTTGCACTTCAGGCACTGTCTGCAGTAAGTGCTCAGTTCCAGGCCAGCTTCCAGAAGCTCCAAGACTCATCCCTTTATTCAGGAATTGAAAATGAACTGGAACTGAAGACTTTTAAACTGGAAGACATTTCAGAAATGATCAAATTTAATAGTTCCCAACCTTCTGGGATCGCAGACACCTTTGAAGATCGGATGTAGAAAGTGAGCCCACAAATTTGCACACCATTGCAAGTTTAAGGAGCCGCTGTGGTGCCCACGAAGCAGCGCTTCATGTTTTAGTTGAGTAGGCTGCAGCTGAGCCCTGTCTCCCGAGGCAGAGGTCTGAGTTTTTAATGGGAACAATAGCACCCATGTCACAGCAGGCAACAGAAGCTCACTGGCTACACCAAGTCTCATTTAGAAAACTCTGGGCCTGGCGTGCTGACTCCTGCCTGTAATCCCAGCACTTTAGGAGGCCGAGGCAGGCAGATCACGAGGTCAGGAGTTCGAGACCAGCCTAACAAACATGGTGAAACCCTGTATCTACTAAAAATACAAAAATTAGCCGGGCATGGCGGCGTGTACCTGTAGTCCCAGCTACTTGGGAGGGTGAGGCAGGAGAATCACTTGACTGGCATGAATGTTAAAATAGGCATCATTAGATTATTCAGAATGGACTCTGTGACAATCAGTAACAGATTATGAACAAGACTTAAGGCCTTGCAAGGCAAGAATTAACACACACCCTAGAAACCACAGAGTCTCCTTCAGTGGGGTTTAAATTGACCCAGGATACTGTGGCTGACTTTCCTACCTGACTCTGGGACAGCATCACGTGGCAGAGGCAGACCCCTCTCTCTGAACTGAAGCATTCTTTTGTACCAACTTCACGGTCTTTAGACAAAGCTGAACTCTTTCAACCAATTGCCAATCGGAAAATCTTTGAATCCACCTGTGATCTATAATGCCCCCTGCTGCTTCACAATATCCCACCTTGTTAGGCCCAGTCAATGTACACCTTCCATGGATTAATTTATGATGTTACTCCAATTCCTGTCCCCTCAAATGTAGAAAACGACGGCCCCAGCACACGTTTTCAGGACCTCTTGAGATCCCCAGACCGTGGTCACTCATATTGGCTCAGAAGATACCTCTTTCAGATCATCTAACAGTTTGATTTTTCTGTTAACAGGCACCACCACAGGCCTTGGCACACCTTTCGCTCAGCTTGGGTTTCCCAAACCGGCTACCGGCCCCCAGCCCTCCACTCCCAACCAGCACACTCTTCATCGCACCAGCAACTCCACCTGTGCTCATGTGGGTGGGCCTCTGTTGGCTGCCGATCTGCACCCGTTTCCCACCCCTCCTGACTGCAGGGCACCCCCTCTGTGGGCAGTGCTCACTGTCACTCAGCCCCTCAGCCCCTCAGCCCTTGAGCTCCCTGGGGCTCTCCATCTCTATGGGGTGCTGGCATCCTTCGGCCAGGACTCCTTTAATATAACCTGGATTCTGCTATGAAATGTACAGTCCCCAGAAAGTGTGACTGAGTCCCCATGTAAACCTTCTCTGTCACCTGGAATGTGGGGAATAGCCCCCACCTTTCTGCTGTTGGTGAGCAAGGAAGCAGACAGCTTCAACTGGGCTGGCAAACACCCGACATCCTATGCAGTGCCAGTCTTGGCAGGAAGCTGATGCCACCCACAGAATGGCAGAAAAACCAACAGGTCAAACCCACTTTCAGGTCACCCTGTCTGTCTTCCTGGAGTTGGCAGTTTCATGGGCCATTAGATCACCTCTCTTACTTATGACAATTTTAGGTGGCTTTTCAACAAGTGCAACATAAAAGTCCTAACTGTCAAGTTCAACCCTCCTAACAAAGTTATTCCGGATGTGATGTCTCCACCATCATCCTGTTCCCAGAGCCCCATCAGGTGTGTCCTCCTGGGCGGCAGCCTCGCTTCCAACATCTGGTGCCTTCATGCCAAGTCCAGGCCCGGCACACCTCAGGTCCTCGGGAACTGTTTGTTGAATGAATAAATGAATCTTTCAGGTCTGACAAGGAAAGCCCAGGCTTTTATCAGGAAAGCTACAAAAATGCAGAAGTCACAGTAGATCCTGGGAGCAAGAGATGCCTGAATGTCAAGTGAGGTCGCTGTGTTTTGAGGAAGCCACAGCCACGGGTGAGCATGGAGGAAGAGACAGCACACAGGGACGGAGCACAAACCTCTCCCCCTCCAAGTGACCGGCAGGTTTCTGACTCTGAATATTGGTCAGACTCACACTAGAAGTACTCAGTGGTGCTTTGAAGCAGCTGCTCACCTCTTGTAATTCCTAGGCCAACTCCTGCTTGACACTGAACTGTTCTGAGAACACTCTAAAGATAAGCCATGGACTTCCTGCCCAGACTTGATGCTCCTTAGACTTTTCCTCGGAGGTGGTGTTGGGTACCAAAGATCTGGAATCTCAGCAGCCTCCACTGGCTGGCCCTGGGTTCCTGCTGCTGACTCCCAGCCTCTGGTTTCTGCTGAGGAAGGCTGCAGGGCAGCACCTTTAGGGGAAGCCTTGACTTTTCCAGATCTGGGCTCTCTCCAGTGTTTTCCTGAATGCCCCTACCAGAAGCCTGGCTGTCATCTCTGAGCCCTTCCTCATCCTCCTCCCTGTGTGAATCATTCCAACTCCTGCCATTTCTGCCCCAAGTGCACCTCCATGTGGCTCATGTCTCACATTCTTGACTTCCTCCCTCTGTTGAAGCCACTGCTGTCTCATGGGCCTCTGCTAGCCCAGGCGGCTTCTTTGTGAACACAGAGCTAGGCACAGCCTCAAGCCATGCAGTCCACTGGATGCAGAGTTTAGCAGGCAAGCAATGCCTTCGAGCAAATAAGAAAAGGTTGCCTTTTCCTTTGGCCAGTCTCAGTTTCGTGCCATGGCTCATGGCTTGGCAACGGGAGGCCCGATTTTAGCTCCTACCAGCCCCTCTGGGCCAGCTGCTCTTGTACAGTGAGCACCTGCATCCCTGCACTGGGGGCCCTGCTGTTGCCTGGATGCGGCACTAGCCTTAAGGGGTAGCTGCTTCCATTCCCACCTCCTCAGATCCATTGTCCACCTGCAGCCAGAGTGAAGCGCGCACACACACACACACACACACACACACACACACACACACACACACACACACACCCCTTCTCCCCTCTGTGCATATCAATGTCCTCCCCTTGCTCTTGGAATAGAGTCCAAACTACCTAACCTAGATGACGGGCCCAGCGTGGCTGATCAACAATGGGTTGGCTAATCTTTTAGGGAAGTTTCCCTTCAATAGCATGTAAGTTGGTGTGGAAAAGGGCTTTTTCTGTTAGGTTTTGCTTTTGCCTATCTTGTATATGTTGCATCCTTGTAATTGGGCCCCTTGAGATTTCAGCACCATACCATGTTTTAGTGACTGAAATAATGAACATTCTGATCAGACCGTTGCTGGCTTGCACATGTTAACCACTTGCTTTTGGTCCAATATTCCTTGTTCCCACAACATAATGATAAACTGCTCATGCACTGTTTCTTTGTTCAGCAGGAAGACATTCCTTCAGGGTCAGGAAAAGTTTGCAGAAGGAATGAATGCCTTGAAGGACACTGTGACCAGCTGCTGACACTGAGAAGCCTGGTTGCACAAGGTGTTATCTCAGACTGAGGAAACACAGACTTTTCCTCTCAATCCCCCTGAACTCCCCCTTCCTCACTCTCTAGCTGCATAAAAACATTCTGCTGCTGCTTCTTTGTTGAACTGAAGTTGAGAGATCTTCCTCTCCTGCCTTCTTGCTTTGGCCAAATCGAATACAACTTTCTCTATCTCCAAGCACCCATGTGTCAGTGTTTGGGATCAGCTCCACGTCGGGTACAAGAGCTTGAATTTGGGCCTCTCCAACATCTGCAGTGCAAAATATTTAACAACGGGTGTGGCACAGCCTCTGACCAACAGCCAGAACACACACAAGCCACACACAGCCATGCCTGTCAGCCGAATGTCAACCTTGCTCATGGCTGAAATGACCCCCAGACATGGGAAGTGCATCGCACACACCTGTTGACTGAATCAATGAATGGGTGGAGGTGGGGGTTGGTGAGGTGAGTGCAAAGAACTGCCAACAATCGATGCTTTGTGGACCAGGGAAACCTCAGCATGGAGAAGCCTAGCTGGGAAGGGCCTTGTTGCCAAGTGTGGGGACTCGGCTTCTGGCCAATGGTGACTGAGTGCAGGGTGAATGGCACAGTTCTCAGGCTCGTGGTATATGTGTACAGGGACCAAGGTGGATCTCAGAGAGTATCAAGTGTGCCAGGTGGCAGAAAGATGCCCAGGGCCTGAACAGGCAAGAGAGGTGGCAGGCCTTC
This sequence comes from Homo sapiens, assembly GCF_000001405.40. Classification (NCBI taxonomy): domain Eukaryota; kingdom Metazoa; phylum Chordata; class Mammalia; order Primates; family Hominidae; genus Homo; species Homo sapiens. Next base: position 371,767 of record NW_025791766.1, on the reverse strand, counting down.
CAGAAGGGCAAGGAACCCAGGCGGTTCCAGACCCTGAGTTTCCCCCTCCAGGCCATTCCCTTTGACTATAAAGGGGAATGCACACTGGGCTCCCTGCTGTGTTACAGCCCAGCTCTTTGACCCTAGGGTTGATGATTACCAAACATTCAGGAGCCAAGCAATGAGGCAGGCAGCCTGCTTTCCAGGGGTGAGCAAGCCCCAGACGGTATCTCCTGGATGCCAGTGAGCGGCTGACAGCTGAAGCTCCCTGGACACTCAAGGCTCTTGTGGTGACAGGTGAGGGGACTGGGTGGAAGGACAGTGCTCTGAGCATGCACCTTCCTTGGGATCTGGAGGCTGGGCTGTTTTTTATGCTTGGCACTTATGCCACCTCAGCAACCTAAAAACTTACAATAAAGCTGGAGGGAGCCTTTCCTGAAACTTGTGCTTGGTCACAGGATTTCTGCGATGTATGGTCCCTGGAGAAGCACCAAAGGGTTGGGCATGTGGCCTGCCTGAGGTAGGTACTCTCTCAATGCACCAAGAAGCTGAGAGAGCCAGAAAAAGGAAACAGAGGGAAGAGTGGTGGGTAGTTCATCTATCAGGGCTTTATAGAAGGTATTTTATTCAATCTTCGAAACAACTCTAGAAGGCAGGTTTTCTTCTCCCCTGTTCTATAGATGAAGAAGTGGAGGCTCAGAGAGGTTAAGTGACATGCCCAAGGTCACACAGCTAGAAAGGCATGGAGCCAGATTCCAATGCAGGTCTTTCTCATGCTACCTTCTCCCAGTGGCAGAGGCCTGCTTCCTCATGGGCAAACGCGGAAAGACACACCCTTAAGCAGGTCTCCCTGTTCCTGCAAGGCTGGGAGCCATGCAGGCACTCACGTGGTTTCCTCTCTCTTCCCCAGGCCTGGCGTAAAGGCGTGCAGGGAGGCCTAGCTCTGTTTCCTGGACTCAGTGACTTCAGACACAGAAGTCTGTCCATGGCTCCTTATCACATCCGCAAATACCAGGAGAGCGACCGCAAGTAGGTCGTGGGCTTGCTCTCCCGGGGGATGGCCGAACACGCCCCAGCCACCTTCCGGCGATTACTGAAGCTGCCTCGAACCCTCATACTCTTACTTGGGGGGGCCCTTGCCCTACTCCTGGTCTCTGGCTCCTGGATTCTGGCCCTCGTGTTCAGCCTCAGCCTCCTTCCTGCCCTGTGGTTCCTTGCCAAAAAACCCTGGACGCGGTATGTAGACATAGCATTGCGCACAGACATGTCTGACATCACCAAATCCTACCTGAGTGAGTGTGGCTCCTGCTTCTGGGTGGGTGAATCTGAAGAGAAGGTGGTGGGCACAGTAGGAGCTCTGCCCGTTGATGATCCCACCTTGAGGGAGAAGCGGTTGCAGCTGTTTCATCTCTCTGTGGACAATGAGCACCGTGGTCAGGGGATAGCAAAAGCCCTGGTCAGGACTGTCCTCCAGTTTGCCCGGGACTAGGGCTACAGTGAAGTTGTCCTGGACACCAGCAACATCCAGCTCTCTGCCATGGGCCTCTACCAGAGCTTGGGCTTCAAGAAGACGGGCCAGTCCTTCTTCCACGTGTGGGCCAGGCTGGTGGATCTTCATACAGTTCATTTCATCTATCACCTCCCTTCTGCTCAGGCAGGGCGTCTATGATTTCTTTCCTTCTGTATTGGTCAGAATAGAATCCATTCGGCTGTAGCAGCAAGCAATCCCCAACCTCTGACTGCAATGACCTTTCTGTGCAATAAAAGCTTATTGTCCATTAACATCTGAGTCCCATGCGATTGCCTGTGGGGTAGCTTCTGGGTTTCTGCTTCATTCAGTCTTTTTGATTCCCATCTGTTTCATTTTTCTAGTGCCAGGATAATGTTGCATAAGAACAATCATAAAATGAAATCAATATTTATTTAGCTCATGAGTCTGAAGTCAGCAATTTTGCCTGAGCTTGGCTGGGCAGTTCCTCTGGTCTCAGACTGCATTGTGCAAATGCAGTGGGATTGGCTGAAAGATTAGCTCAATGGTGCTTTTTCATTTTCCCTCAGGCTAGCTCAGGCATGGTTTCAAGGAAATTGCAGAGGAGCAAAAACAAAAGCAGAAGCAAACAAACGTGTTTTCAAACTCCTGCATGCGTCGCATCTTCCCCAAATTCAAGGAGAGAGGAACCTGCCTCTGTAATGATCATGAAGGGCTGCAAAGTCACATAGCAAAAGGGTGGAATGCAGCCTCGGGAGAAGAATTGGGGCCAGAGACACAACCAATCCACTCTAACCACAGGGTCTCTGCAGAGGGAAGAAGGTGGCCTCAGAGGGGAGTGTGGGATTTACCATGGTCTAGACCTGGAAGTAGTATAACTCTTCCAGGGGATCATAACAGAATACCTGAGACTGGGTAATTTATAAGGAAAAGAGGTGTATTTGGTTCATGGTTTTGCAGGCTGTACAAAAAGCACAGTGCAGGCATCTGCTTCTGGTGAGGGCCTCAGGAATCTTTCACTTATGGTGGAAGCTGAAGGGGGAGCAGGTGTGTCACACGGCGAGACAGCACACAAGAAAGATGCTAGGTGCTTTCAAACAACCAGCTTACATGTGAACTAACAGGGCCAGAACTCATTCATTACCATGGACAGAGCACCAACCCATTCATGAGGAATCCACCCCTATGAGCGAAACACCTCCCACTAGGCCCTACCTCTAACATTGGGGGTCATATTTCAACATGTGATTTGGAGAGAACAAACATCTAAACTATATCAGTCTGCCTCTTACCCCAAAATCTCATGTCATCTCACATTGCAAAATGCAACCATCCCTTCCTGATAGTTTCCCAATGTCTCAGCTTGTTCCAGCATCAACTCAAAAGTCCAGAATCCATAGTTTCATCTGAGCCTCAAGGCAAATGCCTTCCACCCATGAGGCTGTTATATCAAAAACAAGTTACATACTTCCAAGATACAACTGTGTTACAGGTATTGGGTAGGCATTCCCATTCCAAAAGCGAGAAATTGGCCAAAAGAAAGAGGCAACAGGCCCCACACATGTCTGAAACCCAGCAGGGCAAACACTAAATCTGAAACTTCCAAAATCATCTTCCTTAACTCCATACTGGTGAGAGGAGTGGGCTTTCAAGGCCTTGAGCAGCCCTGTCTCTATGGCTTTGCTGGGTGCAGCCCACATGGCTGCTCTCACAGGTTGGGATTGAGCCTGTGGGTCTTCCATGCTGAGGTTGCAAGCTGCTGGCGACTCTACCTTTCTGGTGTCTGGAAGGCATTGGCCCCATTCCCACAGCTCCACTAGGCAATGTCCCAGTGAGGACCCTGTATGGGGGTTCCAACCCTATGTTTTCCCATGGCTCTGCCCTAGTAGAGGTTCTCTGTGGGGTCTCCGCCCTGTGCAGGCTTCTGCCTGGGCACCCAGGCTTTTTGATACATCTTCAGAAATTTAGGTGGAAGCTCCCAAGCCTCCTTCACTCTTGCATTCTGCAAGCCTGCAGACCTAAAACCATATGGAAGGCTGGGCATGGTGGCTCACACATGTAATTCCAGCACTTTGGGAGGCTGAGGCAGGTGGATCACCTGAGGTCAGGAGTTGGAGACCAGCCTGACCAACATTGTGAAACCCCGTATCTACTGAAAATACAAAATTAGCTGGGCATGATGGCACATGCCTGCAATCCCAGATACTTGGGATACTGAGGCAGGAGAATCACTTGAACCTTTGAGGCAGAGGTTGCAGTGAGCTGAGATCGTGCTGTTGCATTCCAGCCTGGTTGACAGGACAAGACTCTGTCTCAAAAAAAAAAGACAAAAAAAAAAACATATGGAAGCTGCTAAGGCTTAGGGCTTGTACCCTCCAAAGCAGTGGTCTGCGCTTCACCTGGGGCCCTTTGAGCCAAGGCTGGAGCTGGAGAAGCTGGGATGTGGGAAGTAGCATCCTGAGGTGACATAGGGCAATGGTGTCCTGGGCCTGGTCTCTGAAACCATTCAGTCCTCCTAGGCCTGTGGGCCTGTGATAGGAGGGGCCTTCTGAAATGCCTCTGAGGCCTTTTCCCACTGTCTTGAATATTAGCACCTGGCTCCCTTTTAGACATGCTAATGTCTCCAGCAAGTAGTTGCTCAGCAGGCTGCTTGGATTCCTCCTTGTCTACCACATGGCCAGGCTGCAAGTTTTATAAATATTTACACCCGCTCTCCATTTTAATTATAAGTTCTGTTAAAAGAAATCCATTAGACAAATTAAATTTCACAGAGTAATTGAGCAAGAAAAATAAATATTTTGCAAGTTGGGCAGCCCTCAGAATTACAGCAGATACAGACAGACACCAGGGATGCTGTGTTGTCAAAGCAAATTTGTGGACAGAAAAAGGAAAGTGACATACAGAAAATGGAAGTGAGGTACAGAAACAGCCAGATTGGTTACAGCTTGGTGTTTGCCTTATCTGGGCATGATTCCAACAGTCGGCTGCCTGTGAGTGGTTGAAGTATGGCCAATGGGATTGGCTGAGACTCAGCTATTGCTAAAGAAGCATCCTCCTAAGTTAGGTTTTCAGTCTGCCTGCCTACTAGTTACATTACGGTTCACCCTTAAGAACTCAAGCATGGCAATATGAAGGCTTCCTCAGGCCGGATTTGAGTTTCATTTATCAACTCCCCTCTCTTTGTCAGACTCTCAATTTAGAGAGATTGATCAAAAGTTTAGGCATTGATGCCACTCTCCCACTATTGTAAATTGGCTCAGTATGGAATTCACAAGTCCTTTTAGTCTCAGTATGGAGTTCACAAGTCTTTATTGGTGTCACTATGAAGTTCACAAGTCACAACTTCACACTAGGTAAATGATTCTTTATGTTCTTGCTGACCTAGTTGAAGTGAGACCATTCAATTCTCAATGTATGGCTGCATACAAAACATTTATGACTTGAGAGGATGCAGCACACCAGGGAACTATTATTATGACTATCAAGAGAATAATATCAAAATACCAAGGTGCACCCCTTAACAAGAGTTCTTATGAAATAAATGAAACCAACTTAAACCAGTCAAAGTTCAGGCAACATAGGCAGTTCAACAATAGTAAAGTTTAATTGGTCATAGTTCTTGTTTGAAATGTGATAGCAATTAAGGACCATAGTTCACTGTAAAGTGGCCTGATTTAAAGACGTAGCCATTTTCATTGTTACTCTGGTAACACAGGCCATACTAACCTGGACACCTACTAGAAGACATATAAAGACTAGAAACCTTTGGGAAACCCAAGCTTGCCATCCACCATTTAGGATGCCTACAAACCAACTGTTAGTTGCTCCTGTAAACACACCATGTTTTCCTCTTGAGAGACTTCTTTATTGTATTTGGTGTCAGTGTCTAAGGAAACAGCAGTATCAGCCACCTTTACATTAAGCTTTCTGTAGTAACAAAATCAGTAGAGAGAAAATTGCAGCATTCCATTTTGTTCAATACCAAACATAGGCCCCAGCTTGAGTAAAAAGGAGATATGAAGCTGCATGATGTTCCATTAACTGTAACATCTACCTCGTTTATTTTATTTATTTATTTATTTATTTATTTATTTATTTATTTATTTTTTTGTGAGAAAGGGTCTCGCTCTGTTAACCAGGCTAGAGTGTAGTGGGGTGATCTCAGCTCACTGCAACCTCTGTCTTCTGGGTTCAAGCAATTCTCCTGCCTCAGTCTCCCAAGTAGCTGGGACTACAGGCACACGCCACCATGCCTGGCTAATTTTTTGTACTTAGGAGAGATGGGGTTTCACCATGGTGGGCAGGCTGGTCTCGAACTCTTGACCTCAGGTGATCCACCTGCCTTAGCCTCCCAAAGTGCTGGAATTACAGGCATGAGCCACTGCACCAGGCCACATCTACCTTTTGGAGAGTAGCTTCTACCTGTCTGGAACATTGGGATGTCTGATTGGCTATAAAATCCAAGACCCCAAATATGGATTAGCTTCAGATTCCATACAACTAGTATCCCACCACCACCAAGAGTGAGTCCCCAGGAACCCCACTGGAATCTTTCCTCAGTGGAAACTAGCTTATCTTTGTCTATTTCAAAGCTAGTGCTAATTTCAGTTATTGTCTATTTTGGCCTCCAATCATAAGAGCTGTTAGGAGAATTTTTAGGTGAAACTATTTGAAAGGCAGAAGTGAGCCAGACCAAACAGCAAGGTCTGAGTCAACGAGGAGGCAGAATGAAATGCGCAGATTATCCACAGACCCAGTATAGGCCCTTGGGAGTTGAAAAACAGGGCCACATAGTTGCATTTGAGCAGGGGTCAGTTAGATTTGTTCATTAATAAACCTACACAGCTCCTGAACAAAATCCACTGGGAAATTGACCTTTTTGTGCTCGCCCTGTAGTATGTTGTAAGGGTGTATAACACATTTAGTAAAAAGAGACCCTGTTGAATTTAATCTGGTGATATTATACAAGCAATTACTTGTACTCACATAGGTAATTCCCGTAACTTGAGTGCATGATGCCTGAAAGCACAATATATCTTTTGCAGGCATCACTTGGACTGGTTTTCTATATTTTGGTATTGATCAGGTTATTAATTGAAACAGTTAAGGCCAGGCATGGTGGCTCACGCCTGTAATCCCAGAACTTTGGGAGACCGAGGCTGGTGGATCACTTGAGGCAAGGAGGTTCGAGACCAGCCTGGCCAACATAGCAAAATCTAGTCTCTACTAAAAATTCAAAAATCAGCTGGATGCGGTGGTGCATGCCTAGAGTCCCAGCTACTTGGGTGGCTGAGGCAGGAGAATTGCTTGAACCTTGGAGGTGGAGGCTGTAGTGAGCCAAGATAAGGCCACTGCACTCCAACCTAGGCAACAGAGTGAGACTGCCTCAGAAAAAAAAAAAAAAAGGAAAAGTTAAAGTGTTGCTTTTAGTGAGTGCAGGAAAACAAGTAGCAATGGTGTTCAGAATATCAAGGATAGCTTTCTATCCTTCCCTTGGAATTTTGGGGTGACTCTCATTGGCAACATGGAGAGGCATTGGCATTAGCGGAATTGTTTCCTTATTTTTTTGGCAATAAAAACAAACCCAATAAGCCACAAACTCTGGTTCTGTGCTAGAGCATATGCTCAAGCTAAAGCCATCCACTGATTATCGTCCCATGGATTTTTCTGTAGGGAAAAAGAAAGAATTAGGGCAACAGGAAATGCGGAGAAAAGAAAAAATGTAAGGCTTTCATGATGATACAGAAGTCTTGATCTGTGATCTTGGGAAAGCTGTCCACAGCTAGAATGCCCGCTGCTCTGGAGAGATATTTCCTTAGACAGCTTTACCTTAAAGTCTCCAGCAGGTGTACAGTTCCAGGAGTCTGAAGAGGCCCTTCTGAGTTGTGAGGTGTGGACCCAAGTTTCAAGGCCCTGAAGCTTCACTGCAGTGTAGGTGTTGAGAAGATCTCAGCACGGTCCCTTCCAAAGAGTTGTCAAGAGCAGCCTTTCTCTGATGTCATTTCCAGAAGACACAATCTCCAGGTTCTAGACTGTGGAAGGTTTGATTATCCTCAGTTGGTGGATCTTGAAAAGCTTCCTTTATCTGGTGAAAGTACACTTTGGTATAATGGCCTTGCAGTACTTACTCATATCAGAATTTAGGAGACAGAAAGATGCATGAGGTTTCACTATTGGGGCATAGGCCTTCTAGTGACTATTTCATAAGGGATCCACTTCTGTTTTTTAGTGAGAGTGGATCTGATTGTCATTAAGTCCAATGATAGTACCTTTGGCCAAGGCAACCCAACTGATTCAGTTAACTTTGCCAATTTCAGTTTTAATATGCCATTTGTTCTTTCAACCTTTTCAGAAGACTGAGGGCGATAGGGACAATGGTAGTGCCATTGTGTCCATAACACCTTGTTTAACTGCTTTATAACCTGCCTAATAAAATGAATTCCCCTATTGCTGGGGATTTTTCCAGGGATGCTCCATAAAGAAAACACATTTTCTAATAATTTCTTAGCTACTGTCACAGCATCAGCTTTCCTACACAGGAAGGCCTCTACCCAACCAGAAAACATGGAAACTATTACAAGAACATACTGAGACCCCCATTGAAGGTGGCAACTGAATGAAGTCTATCTATAATTGTTCAAATGATCCATTAGGTGGTGAAAATACAATACACCACCTGAATCTTTTGTTTTTCCAGGACTATGGGTTTGACAAGCCAACATTGGTTATAAAATATTCTAGCAGGCTGGGTGCAGTGGATAATGCCTGTAAGCCTAGCATATTGGGAGGCCGAGGCAGGTGGATCACAAGGTCAGGATATCCAGACTATCCTAGCTAACATGGTGAAACCCCATCTCTACTAAAAATAAAAAAAAATTAGTCGGGCATGGTGGCACACACCTGTAGTCCCAGCTACTCGGGAGGCTGATGCAGGAGAATCACTTGAACCAGGGAGGTGGAGTGTGCAGTGAGTTGAGATCGCGCCCTTGCACTCCAGCCTGGGTGACAGAGTGAGACTCCGTCTCAAAATATATATACATATATATATATATATATATTCTAGCAATTTTGGAACAATCATCCCACAAGTATTTTTTCACAATTTGGACGTATTTTTCTGTTCCATGATGAGTTGTGGAGTACAGAGCTTTTGAAAATAGAAGCTTCAAAGACTCAGGAAAGACCAGACAGCCATCTAGGCCCTCTGTGAGTCTGCACTTAACATTGAATTTATATCCTTTTAGATACCAGTTTTGTTTTTCCAAATGAGGTGCATTGCACTGTTTATTAAATAGGTCATTGTAAGGTAGTTGGATTGGATTAATCTTATGAAGTTCATTCAGGTTGCATATCTGAACAGTTTCAGTACTAGCTGATTTAGCATAAATATCTGCTAAGCATTCCCTTGATATTCAGGTTCAGTTCTGCAGGTATGAGCTTCGATCACTAACAGCAAACTAGGAGTTTATCTAACTGGAGTCCATTTTTGATGGTGATCCCACTAGAAGTGAGAAACCCTTAGAGTTTCCCTATCATGCCAAAATCATGTACTACTCCTAAAGCGTATCTACTATCTGTCTAAATACTTACTGATTTGTCTTTAGCTATACGACAAGCTTGGGTGAGGGCAAAAATCTTCAAGAGTTAAGCTGACTTATAGAGCTTAGACTAATAGAGCTGACTAATAGAGGAAGGGGTCCCTTCTCTATTAACTCATTTTGGTAACAGCATATCCTAGCTGATATTTTCCTTCTGAGCTTTTGGCATAGGACCCATCAACAAAAGTATTAACTCAGGATTGTCCAAAGGACTAACTTGTAAATTAACATGAGGGGCCACTATTTCTGATGCTACACTTATGCAATTGTGGTCTTCACCATCATCAGGCAGCAGTAATACAGTGGCATGGTTAAGTAAATTGCAGTGTTTTAGAGAGAGATTAGAAGGAGACAGAGTATTTCATGTTAGTCTACTTACTAAAAAATGCTGGGTTTGGGTGGAATTTAGCATGTGGGACTTCCAAATTAAATTCATTTCCTAAAACCAGATCAGCTGAAGCTTCTTTCATCCTGGTTGCTGCTGCTACTGCTTTTAAATAGTTAGGATATACCTTAGCTACTGGGTCTAATTGCAGGCTATAATATGCAATGGGCCTATGTTTCTCCCCATGTTCCTGGGTAAGAACTCCTAAATGCCTGATTATTACTTTCATGAGCCAATTAGGTAAACAGTTTAGTGCAATTTGGAAGTCCTAAAGCTGGAGGCTGTTACAAGGTCAATTTTATTTAGCTAAAAGCCTGCTCGTAACTATCATCCCAAGATAAAGGCTCTGGTACAGCATTTTTTAGGGAGCTCATGAAATGGTGAGGCTATTAAGGAAAAATTCAGAACCCAGGAATTTTATATCCTGCAAGTCTAAAAACATATCCTGCAAGTCCAAGAAAACTATTTAATTATCTTTTGGTTGCAGGCCAAGGAAAATTTTGAATAGTTTTTAACTTTTTAGGTGAGAGGGAAATCCCTTCAAGTCATGTCCCAAATAATGGACTTTTTCCCCTTGAAAACTGAAGTTTTTCTATTGAAGCTTTCTGACCTTGATGTGTGAGTTGCTGTAAAAGGTAAACTGAGTCCATTTCAGAGCACTCTTTAGTGGGAGAGCATATAGTAAGTCATCTATGTACCGAATGAGAGTAGAATTTTAAGGAAACTATAATGTCATTAAGTCCTGATGCAAGGCCTGGGAAAAATACGAAGGGGCTTCGGTAAACCCTTGCGGCATCACAGTCTAGGGGTACTGCTGATTTTTCCAAGTGAAGGCAAATAAGCATTGACTCTCTTTACGAATTGGATTGCAAAAAGAGGCTGAGCAGAGATCTAATATTGTGAACCACTTAAGAATCAGCATGTATACTGGATAATAAAGTATTAGGATTTGGGACTATAGGAAACCTTGCTACTACAATTTTGTTAACTGCCCATAAATCTTGAATAAATCTTCAACCTCATCCATTTTTTTTTTAACCAGTAGGATTGGAGTGTTACAACGGCTGGTGCATAGAATTATAAGTCCCTGTTTAATTAAATCTTCTATAATTGGCGAGAGCCCTTGAATTGCTTCTAGTTTTAGTGGATATTGGGTAATTTAGGCAAAAGTTTAGAGTGGTCTATTTGGACTTTTATAAGTTCCACACTTTAAATTCTTCCTGTGTCAGTTGAGGAAGAGACCCATAAACATTCATGTATTTTTGGAAGATCAGGCATTACAGGCCTGAGTTTCAATCTTATTAATTTCTGCCTATAGAGAGCATAACAATTCTGGTTCAGGAGAATCAGGAAACTGATTCTTACTCCTTCTAAGGAAAATTTTACATCCTCCCCACTTTTAAAAATTTTTTAATTTAAACAATTTCAATTGTTTTGGGAGTACAGGTGGTTTTTGGTTACATGGACAAGTTCTTTACTGGTGAGTTCTGAGATTTTAGTGTGCCCATTTCCCAAGCAGTGTACAATGTACCCAATAGGTAGTCTTCTATGCCCTTTCAGCTTTGAAAGTAAATCTCCCTCTAGCAAATTTACTGGAGCACTATCATACAGTAAAAAAGTGTGATTTTCTGAAGAGTGCCCCAAAGTCAATTGGACGGGTTCAGATATGGGAACCTCTTGAATTTGATTTGAAACCCCAACCACAGAAATAGCCTTTTTAACTCTGAGGGATCTGTTGGCGTATGAAAGTGTGTTTTACGGTAGTGGCAGATAAGGTAGCTCTGGTATCCACCAAGACTATACATGAGTCCCCATTTATTGTAACCTCTGTTTCTCCATATTCTTTTAAGGGTGTTATGAGGAGCAATATACTGGGAAATCCCTCAGAGCCGCTTCAATGCTGATTATCTTCAGGAGAGCTAAGGTCTCTTGTGCTCCCTCTAGTGGTGAAACAGGCTGGCCTAAAGGGAGGGTCATTGGTGGGCTGGTATAAAAGGGCACAATCCCTATTCCACTGTCCTGGTTGTTTGCAATAAGGCAGACATCTTAGGGTGAAGAATTTCTTGGTCTAATACCTCTTGGTTGTGATTTAAAATGAGAATGAGAAGATCCCTTTGGTCTTGGCCCCTGTAACTGTTGTAATTGAACAGTCATAAGCTTGTTAGCCTTTTGGGTTTTTTCTTGCTCTACAGTCCTCTCAAAATGTTCAGCTAGAGCCACCAATTCAGTCATGGCTGTAACTTCCCATCCGAGTTTATGTTTTCTAATTAAATTTCTAAGTTCAGGATGAAGTCCCTTTATAAATAGAGTAGTTAATACCATTTCAGTCCCTGCAGGAAATACTCCTTGCTGGTACTCTGAGCCCAGAATGTTTCACATTATTTCTAAGCAAGTTCTGTAATCTGACACTGGTTCATTCTTTTTTTGGTTTACAATATTGTATGATGTACCAATCAACTTTTGCGGAAAAATTTTAGCACTTGAATTTAAAAGATTTTCAGCAATTTTTTTTTCCTTCTTTTCTTTTGAGATGGGGTCTCGCTCTGCTACCCAGGCTAGAGTGCAGTGGCACAGTCATGGCTCACAGTAGCCTCAAGCTCCCAGGCTCAGGTGATCCTCCCACTTCAGCCTCATAAGTAGCTGGGTCTACAGGCGTGTGCCATCATGCCCAGCTAACTTTCTGTATTTTTCGTATAGACAGGGTTTTGCCATGTTGCCCAGGCTGGGATTTGCAGCAATATTTCTAGCTCCTGTTGGGCCTTCTCATGAGGAAGTTTTGTGGGGGCGGGCAGTAGGGGCAGAGTCTTTAATATCTTCCTCCGGTTTGTTCCATTCTGCTGCTGCCATCCATTTTTGAGCTTCACCAGGCCTCCATATCATATGAATAAATTTATATGAACCTTTGTCAGGGAGTCCTGGATCATAATCTCCTATGAGGATTCTACACTCCTCAGTCAATTTTTGAGGATTCTCTCCTAGATCAGGGAAGTCTTCTACAATAGCTCTAAGCTCAGTTTTAGACCATGGAGTGAAAGTGGTTATAGCAGGCAGGCCTGGATAATCAGAAGGTCTTCCTTTGTGAGGCGTACATCTAATTCCTCTTTTTTCATCATCTTGAGAGTGAAAGGTCAATTTAGTAAAAAGGTTAGTAGACTCAGAGTACGTAGGTAGAGATGCATAAAGAGAAGAATCAGTTGGGGTTAGTTCAGTCAGAGTACAGTTCTCTTTCATCATGTCCTTAGCCTGTTACTTAAGCTGTTCACTTGCTTTTGCGAAGAATCTTTTAAGGAGGCAAGTTTTCATTCATTTTGTCTTTTAGAGGCTTCCATGTACCAATGAAAGACTATATCCCACTGTTTTTGTGGGGTTTTGACCCCCTTTTTCTAATATGCCATGCAAATAAACAATTTTATACAAATTAAAACTTCCCCATTGTGGCCATCTTTTCTCTAGTAAGGTTAATCTATTTTTCTAAAAATGCACATATTCTGGGTCCATAATTTTACATATCAAATTAGATGGAGTCCCAGAAGGTAGAGTCCCAGAATCTTTGGATTGAGACAAACCCATTATCAAAAAAAAAAAAAAAAAAAAAGTGCCTAGTATAGGTCTGAGGCTCTAACGGAACCTAATCCAGTTAATTATTGATTCAAATTTGATCCTGAACCCAGTCCACTTTAATATCGCTCCAGTAAAGTTGGAGAGCTTCAATTAGAATACACATTAGTGGAGCTCTGAATCCAAGAGAAAACGCATCTACAACCTCCAGTTACAATCAAGAGATCAGTGAGCACAACTGGCCTGGTCACCTGGTGTTCCTGGAGGTCACCAGAGTTTTACTTCAAATTGCACTTCCAACACCAGATCTGGTAAAAGAAAAACCTTAGACAAACTAAATTTAACAGAATTTAATTTTGAAGAAAAAAAAAAAGACAATTCACAAATCAGGCAGTCCCTAGAATCACAGCAGATTCAGAGCAACACCAGAGATGCTATGTGGTCGGAAAAAACCTTATGAATAGAAAAAGTAAAGTGACACGCAGAAAGCCGAAGTGAGGTACAGAAATAGCCAAATTGGTTACAGCATGGTGTTTGCCTTATTTGAACATGGTTTGAACAATAGGCTGCCTGTGAGTCACTGAAGCATGGCTGCTGCGATTGGCTGACGCTCAGCTATTGCTACAGAAGCATCCTTCTAAGTTAGGTTTTCAGTTGGCCTACCTACAAAGTTAGGTTATGGTTCATCCTTAAGGACTCAAGTATGGGAGTGAGGAGGCTTTCTCAGGCCAGATTTTAGTTTGATTTAATAGTTCCAAATTTAAGTCAGTCCTTTGCTCCAATATCTGATCATAGGCTATTAGAAGCAGCCAGGCCATTTCTTGAATGCTTTGCTGCTTAGACATTTCTTCTACCAGATACCCTAAGTCATTACTCTTAAGTTCAGCCTTCCACAAAGCCCTAGGACATAGATACAATGCAGCCAAGTTCTTTGCTAGGGCTTAACAAGGGTGACCTTTGCTCCAGTTCCCCATAACTTCCTCATTTCCATCTGAGACCTCATCAGGCTGGCCTTTACTGTACATATTTCTGTCCACATTTTGGTTACAACGACATTACAAATCTCTAAGAAGGTCCAAACCTTTTCTCATCTTTCTGTCTTCTGGGCCCTCCAGACTCTTCCAACCGCTGCCTCATACCCAGTTCCAAAGCCACTTCCACATTTTCAGATATCTTTATAGCAACGCCCTACTCCTCGGTACCGACTTTCTGTGATAGTCTATTTTGCGTTGCTATAAAGAAATATCTGAGACTAGGTAATTTATAATGAAAAGATGTTTATTTGACTCACAGTTTTTCAGGCTGTACAAGAATCACAGGGCTGGCATATGCCTCTGGTGAGGGCCTCAGGAAGCTTTTACTCATGGGGAAGGGTGAAGGGGGAGCAGTTGTGTCACATGGCAAGAGAGGGAACCAGAGAGATGCCAGGCTTTTTTAAACAACCAGCTCTCACACGAACTAATAGAGTAACAACTCAGTCATGAGGAGGGCACCAAACCATTCGGGAGGGATCCACTTCTTATGACCTAAACACCTCCTACTAGGTCCAACCTCCAACACTGGGGGTCACATTTCAACATGAGATTTGAAGAAGACAAATATCCAGACTATATCCACCTTCTAGAGGGGACAGGGCTTCTGCTCCTGGAAATTCAGACCCAGGAATAGGACTTGGCATTCTTCTGCTCCATCTTATGCCCACTCCCCAGCCACACAGAGCTACTTCTACTTCTTCAATACCTGAAGCTCTCTTTCTGCTTGAGGCCTTTGGGCATGTTGTTCCTTTTGCCTGGAACATTCTTATCCCCACCCCATCCCCTTGTTAGTTCAGTGACTCCCTAGCTGCTGAGCCAGGAGGAAGCAGTTCATCCTGTTTTTTTTTCTCCCCCCCCGGCAGTTATTGCAATTTAGTCCTTTGCTACTCAAAGTGTGATCCCCAGACCAGTGCAGCAGCCTTGCCTAGAAGTGTGTTAAAAATAAGTGTGGGGTCTACGGCCATACCACCCTGAACACACCCAATCTTGTCTGATCTCGAAAGTTAAGTGTGGGTACGACGTTTATTATGCCCACAAGATTAACATTAGCAAAACAGTATGAATCTTGCACAGCTTCTTCCTAAATGCAACACAGTGGCCGCCCTCCCATGAGGCAGAGAAATTCAGGTGTGTCCTCTGCTGGTCGACGCTCCCATTGCCTGGGCATCGATGGGCAGTGCTGATTTGCTGAAGACCAGGGAGAGAGGAGGGGCCAGCTGCCCTGACTGGTGCTCATCTTCCTTGGACCAAGTCTACACTCACTGCTAAGGGAGTTACAAGCTCTTCTTTCCTGAAGGACTCAGATAGGAGGCCCAAAGCTGTAGGAGGGAATGCGTCTGTGTTTGTGAATTGGGGGAGGGTATTATTGGGGCAAGATAGTGGGCTCGAGGTAACAGGAAGTTAAACTGGAACTTCGCACTGAGGCACTGGATATAATAGGTAAGAAATTCTGCTGTGAGATCTGACACCAAAATGAAGAAATGCCAAAGGAGGCTGTCAAGAACGGTTTGGGGTTGCCAGGGTTTGAGGGGAAGGGGATGTGAGGAGTGACGGTTCCATGACGACAGGTTTCCTTCCTGGGTAATGAAAATGTTTTGGGGCTTGATATGGGTGTTGCTTGCAAAACACTGTGAATGTACCAAATGGCAGGGAACTGTACACTTGAAAATGGCTAACTGTAGGTTATGTAAATTTTGTCTCCAAGCATTGGGAAAAAAGAAGAGTTCATGTGGCTCTAAAACTCACAAGGAGTACAAGGGTCAGAGAACTAAGACACTGAGGGATTTTTTTTATGGGGAGAGTTGCTGCTGTGCTGAATCTGCCCTCATCTAGCCTCAGCCAAGGGGCCGATGGGCGGTGCCACTGTGACCTCCAGACAGCTTCTTGGCCAAGGTGACTCCAAGTCCTCCTCTGCCAGGGAGCAACAGGACTGATGTTGACACTTGCCAGAGGAATCTGAAAGTCAAAGTCCACACCTATTCAACCTGGAACTCTGGCAGAGGTAGAATGTTGCTGGCTGTGTGTGT
This sequence comes from Homo sapiens, assembly GCF_000001405.40. NCBI lineage: Eukaryota > Metazoa > Chordata > Mammalia > Primates > Hominidae > Homo > Homo sapiens. The sequence goes on along the minus strand of NW_025791766.1, from coordinate 355,697 downwards.
GTGTGCGTGTGTGTGTGTGTGTGTGTGTGTGAGAGAGAGACAGAGAGAGAGACAAAGAGAGAGACAGAGAGAGAGACACAGAGAAACAGAGAGACAGAGACAGAGAGAGAAGGCGGGGGGAGACAGAGAGAGGAGATGGTGGGGAGAGAGAGATAGAGAGAGAGAGAGGAAACAGAGAGTGGGGAAGAGGAGGGTAGAAAGAGAGTGAAAGGAAAAGAAAGGAATGACAGAGAGGGAGAGGGAGTGATTGCTTTGCCTGGACTGGGGCCATGGGCAGTGGCAGTGGATGAGGCCAGGCCTTGGGAATGTAAGGGCTTCCAGGGAATGGCAAGTGCAGATTTGTGATTTGTATGGGAAACTCTTTGGGCAAGCATAGGGTAGGAGACTGATTGTTTTCCAGAAAGTAGGAAGGAGGGAGGGCATGATCTAAGATAATTTTAGAGGTCAGTGACTTGGACCAATCAGTGAGAAAATCTAGACTGTTAATTCCAAACTTCCTTTCACCTTTCTTCGGCTAATAAGTAATTTGTTCATTTTGAAGGATGGTATTTTATTCTGAACCTGGTAAAATTGTAATGACATTCAGATTTCCTTTTACATATTGCTTACTGGTTAAATTAGAATTTCTTTTTTTGCTTCATTTTTGTTTTACATGTGTGCACATGTGAAGATGTGCGTACATGCAGGGAAAGTCAGCCAGCCTGAGACAATCTCCCCTTCCTTTTTTTCCCCCTAGTTTTTATTATGGCAAAATACATAAAACATACAACTAACCATTTTAACGTGTACAGTTCAGTGGTACTAATTATGTTCACAATGGTGTGTAACTGTCACCACAATCTATTTCCAGAAGTTTTTCATCATTTCAAACAGAAACTCTGTACCCACTAGGCAAGAACTCCTTGTCTTCTCCTCCAGCCCCCGGAAAGCCCTGTTCTACATTCTGTCTCTACGAACTTGCCTATTCTGACAATTTCATATAAGTGAAACTATACAATATTTGTCCTACTGTGTCTGGTTTTCCTTTCCCAGAAAATCCCCCCACCCGACTCAAGGCACAGATTAGAAAACCTTCCCAGGCCTTGAGTCTCCCCCTGCAGGCGGTGTCCTTACATGGTCTGGGTGCTGCTTCCCGACGTCACCGGGATCCCTGGGTGTTTCTCTCCTTTCCCTGGAAGCCTTTCTTTCACCCACAAGGCACCGGGAAGCCTTTGTGCTACTGTTCCTCCTGCGTGTGTCCTTGATAAAGTACAGAATGGACCAATAAATTTAAACTTATCATAAACAGTGGGCAATTTTTAGCATGGGACAGAATCAAACATTAAAAATCATTTATCTGAAATTCAAATTTAATTGGGCATCCTGTATTTGTGTTTGCCTCATCTGGCAGCCCTACTATGGACACTTCTCTAAATTCCAGACTCAAGTCCAGTCCACAGGTTGTCCACCCTTCTCAGAAGTCCAGGGATAAGGGATATGGACCAATCTCTAAAGAAAAACCTCCATTTCAGGAGGAGTTATGCTACAGGTGCCTGTGACTCCAGGTCTAGATGCTGGCTTTCACCACTTGACAGGGATTCCCTGCAGTGGGAGAGGTTCAGTGGCCTGGGGCTGACTCACGTCTGACAAACCCAGAGTGTGGGTTTCAGGGCCTAGCTAGGCTGTGGCCATGAGGTGATCCTGCACTCTTAAGAGTTCACCCCAGCATAGGATGCATAAGTGTTTCCTGAGGACAAGGTTTGGGACATGCAAGAGGCTGGCACTGGGCCAAGAAGACTCTGAGTCTCAGTGGAGTGACTGCTAGAAACCAGGTTTGGGGAGGAGGAGGAGGAGGAGGAGGACCAGAAGCTGGAGGAAAACCTATTGCTTGCATTGCTGGAGTTACGATCCAATATTCCAGAGGGAGGCCTCAGAAGAAGCCATGAAAACACCCAAGAAAGTCAGCTTGAGACAATGAACTGCCAGGGTGAGAGGGCAGGATGCCAAGCTATGGTCCCCATCCCCACCACATAGACACACACACACAGATGGGTCAGACACCTCCCTGTGCTGCTGAGGAGGAGAGCCCTGTCAGGCAGGGACAGAGGGGACTATGCTCCCCTAGATGGTGCAGAGAGGTCTGGCAGGGGAAGAGAGAAGATTTTAAGTGGAACTCAAATTGGGAGTTTCGATTATTACACTTTTACTTATTGAGTGGAGACTGGGCTTTCAGTGAAAAGTCAGCACGGTAGAACATGTAATCCCCTGACAGTGATCCGAACAGTCGAGGCATTACCTGAGTTCTCATCTCCAGTATAAGGGGAAGAACTCCCCAATTGAGCAGGCTTACAAAAGGCAGTGAGAGACAAGTGCAGTTGGGTCCTGATATTCACAGCAGCATTGTTCACAAGACCTACACATTATATGCAGTTATGAATCTGTTTACCAAACTGCTTACTGTAAGATTAGAAAATATTTGATATAATAAAATGTCTCACATAAATTATGGTGCATAATAAAATGAATACCCCTGAACCCAGCACCCAAATGAACTAGAAAGGTCACTATATTTGACAATACTTTCAAAGCTAAGTGTCTCTTCTCCAATCCCAGCTCCCTAAGGATGTAACCACTATTTTGAGTTAAAAAAATCCATCTGTCTGTCTATCTATCATCTGTCCATCTATCTGTTTGATCCTAAAATGACATGGGTCCCTAGGTGTCCCTGCACATGTTTACCTTGGCTTGCTTTTAAACCTTATGATAAAAGTATCATACAATATATTCTTCTGAATTTTTTTTCCTACTCAACATCGTCTCAAAGATTCACTAAGTTTGATGTTCCTTAATTTTCTCTTCTGTCTAGAATTCTTTTGCGTGACATACCACTTGCCATTTACTCATTCTCTTGTCAAAAGACACTTGAGTTGTTTCTAGTTCTTTGCTAGGGTGAAAGGACATATTTGGTGAAGATGTCCTTGTGAACCTTCCTGGGCTGATTATTGGTGAGCACTTTTCAGAATGCTGAATTATAGAGTGAATGCAAGCTTCCTCAAGCAGTGTGTGAATTCCAGTTGATCAACATCCCTGTCAACATTTAGAGTGGCACAAAGACAAAACTTTGTGCCAATCCAGTGAATGTAAAAAGGTATTTTATTCTATCCATAACATGCATTACCCTAATTAATAATGAACTCAATCTACATTTTATGTTTATGGGCTATTTGTGTTTTTCTATAAAGTTGCCTGCTCATGAGTTTAGCCCATGTGTATTAGTCCATTTTCATACCACTGTGAAGAAATATCCAAGACTGGGTAACTTATAATGAAAAAGGCATATCTTACATGATGGTAGGCAAGAAAGCTTGTGCAAGGGAACTGCCTTTTATAAAACCCTCAGCTCTCATGAGACTTATTCACTATCACAAGAAAATGGGAAAAATCTGCCCCCATGATTCAATTACCTCCCACCAGGTCCCTCCCACAACACATGAGGATTATGGGAGCTACAATTCAAGATGACATTTGGATGCGGACCAATCACAGCAGAACGTGAAGGAGGAGCAAAGGCACATCTTATGTGGTGGTAGGCAAGAGAGGGTGTGCAGGGGCACTGCTCTTTATAAAACCATCAGCTCTCATGAGACTTATTCACTAACACAAGAACATGGGAAAAATCTGCCCCCATGATTCAATTACCTCCCACTGGGTCCCTCCCACAACATGTGGAAATTATGGAAGCTACAATTCAAGATGAGATTTGGGTGGGGACACAGCCAAACCATATCACCATATTTCTATGAATTGTCTATTTGTTTTAAAGAGACTTAAATATAAATTGTGTTTTTAAAAAACCGACTCATAGAAGTTCTTTATATATTCTGGATACAAATTCTTTGCTGGTCAGATGTGCTGCAATTATCTTCTCCCATTTTGTGCCTTGTCTTTTCACTGTCTTTATGGTGCCTTTTGATAAACAAAAAATTTATCAAGATGAATTTATCAATCTTTTTCTTTATGGTTAGCACTTTGTGCCTTAAGACATTTTTCTGTTCTTACTCTCTTATATTTTCCTCTAAAAATTGTAATGGTTTTGCCTTTCATGTTTAAGTCTTTTTTCTTTTTGGTTTTTATTTCTATTAAAATTATGTATGTAACTATTATAAACAGCCAGGGTTCAATGGCTCTGTCATGTGAAACAGCAGCCCCTACATTCCCCAGCACTTCTTTCACAGGCTGTGTGACTCCTGCTCCATTGTCCAGGTCTAGCCTGCCTGCTGTCAGCTGCTGAGGAGGGTGAAGACAAGTCTCCTCCATGCATATACGCACTCCTCCCCTGCTCAGCTTCCCAGTGTGGTTAGATGGCCCTTTGGGCTACTTCACTATTCTGTGTTATTTTAAGCTAAGCTATACAGTAAGCCATGATGACTTATCCTTTCCTGAAGGCTTTTGATTTGTATCTTTTCCCTTAGAACTGATACTTTTCTTTTTGCCGTTGTTCAGTTTTCTGTGTATTTATCACTTATTCAATGCCAAATTCTATCAGATGTCCAAATGTCTCCTCTTAATATTTAGATGACGTGATTTAACGATTAGATCTCCCTGGTCTTTTCCAGCACCTCTGATCTGTCATTTGGATTGTTTATTTTCTGTGTGCCATTCAACAAACTCCACTTTAAAAAAAAAAAAAAAAAAAAGAAGATAGGGGTCTCACTATGTTGAACAGGTTGATCTTGAACTCCAGGCCTCAAACGACTCTCCCACCTCAGCCTCCCAAAGTGCTGGGATTACAGGCATGAGCCACCACATCTGGCCCCCATTCGACAAATTCTTATTGGGCCAACCACGTGCTACATGTTGTGTTAGACTCCAGAGAAACAAGGAGAACAAGATGGTTGTCATTCTTGCCTATGTGGAGCTTACTATCAAATTCAGGGGAAAAAAAACCCCAACAAATTCTGGAGCAATGTTTGCTATTCCTAACTGTTTGACTGGCTCTGAAGCTGATGCCTGCCTGTCATAAGATGGCACCAGTGTGGGGGACTCCTGAGTAAGAGAGGGGTCTTCCCCAGTTTCCTGTGTGGCCAAGGCTCTCTGCCTAAGTTAGGGATGAATACAGAGAAGTCTCTGAAGCACCTTCCACCTTTTCTCAGTTCACCTCTGTCTCATGAAATGAAGACTGTGATAGCCATTTTGTTAAGTCTAGCCCTACCTGTCTCATAGTTCCTTGAGGTTCCTGGACTTAGTGGAGCAATGGTGAGGCCAGACGAACTGTGTGATGAGACACCATCAGGGATCAAAGGAATATGTGAATTTGGCCATGACTTTTTGGGGACAGGCTGGAACATTGAACCCCAAGCCCCATGCAGAAGTCTAGCAAGTTGGGCTGACCTCTCAAGAGGGCTCTATTTTCTCCAGAGTGGAGCCTTGGGTCTCATCTCTGCAACAATCAGACTATCTAAAGTAAAGCCACCAGCATTGGAGGAAACAAATCCAGGATAGAGTAAGACAAGACACACACACCCATAGGCAGAGATTTTACTCCAGTGTCTATGGAGGAGATGGCTTGGGCTACTGAGCATTTTTTGGCCCATCATAGCTCCCTGAAAGGCTGGAGAGGAGCACATAGGGCTACGGCTGCTCAGGCAAAGAAAATTAATAGTCCACATCTATGTTCTCTGTGACTATGATCCCCTTAAAATGTAGCCTAGTCAGGTTTGGAAAATAATGCCCCCATTGCCACCACCCCAGCCTTGGTGGTGGTGGAGTTTCCTTAGATCAGGACTCTCATCTTGGGCAGCTGCAAGAGCCAAGGGCTATGGAGATGAGCCATGAGTGCCCCCTAGAGGCCAATGATGTTAGCTTTAATTTTAATATCATTCCCTTTTCCCCATGCCCACTCCCCACCATCCCCTTTCATGAGTATTTCGTGAGAAACTGGGAAAGGGCTGTAAGCAAGGCTTCAAAACCAGTAAAAATAAGTCTAGCATCAGAGGTAAAATCACCCAGCTCCCAGACTCGTAAAGACATAGACTGTGTCAACAGTTCAGCTTGGCCTCACTTCCTAAGGACTGGCTATATAGACAAGACAGGGCGGGCCCCCAGGGAGTGAAGGAATTTAATGAATTTGAGCAATTAGCCCGTTTTACAGCCTTCTGCCTTGCAGACGGTTTTGTCTCAAACCCTGTGTGAAATGTGGTCACCTAGTCAGTTGGAACCTGCTCCTGACAGACCCCAGCAACTTATAGATGAACTCACTTACAGTGAACTTTCCTCATTACAATGCTAAATCCTGCACCCTGGGAGAGCTATAGTTTCATTACCATAGCATGCGTCCTATGTGGTGGCACGATGACTCCCTCCATCTGTGTCACTGGGACCCCTCCTCTTCATGTGATGATGCACCTTCTCCCCTCTCGATCACTCTATAAAGCCTTCCTGTCATTTTCTCTTAGGAGACACTGCTTTGACGAATATTCCCAGAGCTCTTCCTACTTGTGACAAGTAATAAAACTCCTATTGATCAAAGTCTGTGTTCTCAGCGACTTTTGTTACTCACCAGGCAAACAAACCCCGCTTTTTTTTTGGAGGCAGTGGGGTGGGAGGGCCTGGGAAACAAATCTGGTTGATCCAGATGGGACTATGGACTGAGCCCTGACTCGACCTCCCTTATAGGCTGCTTACAGGCGAAGCAGCAGTCTGAGGAAGCATGAGTGGGTTAAGTTGCCAAGAGGGAGATTGGTGAAGGGCCTCAGGCATGCCAACCCCATCCCCCCAGCCCACCAGGAAAGCAGAAGTGGCTGCTTGGACCTTTCATTTGGTGCAATTTTGAGGCAGTAAGTGGTGGTGGTTCTGTGAACTGACTAAAAGAGTGGTTTTGGTTTTGATTATTAGGACTCTGGGTTGTCAGGTTTAGGACCTAGCTCAAGGGATCCAGGACTGTTGGGAATGGGCAGGACTCCCCTTCAGGTCTAGGAGTTGAGAGATGTCTCCATCCATTTTAACAGGGGAAGCCCTAATATAAAGACGAGGACTCTCATCTTTAAGACTTTGTCCCTGTCTGGTATATCTGTAGGCTGAATGCTTGTCACTTTTGCCAATACTTGTGTTTCTTTGTGGCCTGAATGCATGTGAAGTCTGGATTCCCTTCTCCTTAGTCTGTGGTAATCCCTAAAATATTGGGCTTCCATATTCCAGCAGTCACAGAAGAACTGTTATTGATTTGAAGAGGCCTAATTTAGAATGGGGCAGTTTGGGTGGGAATTCCTGGAACCAAAATACAGTGATGTAGACTTTACATGAGCAGAGTGTGCACCCTCTCCAGAAAGAACACCTTGCTTACTTGATTGATTTACATACCTCCCACCACTCAAGCTGGATCCGGAACTACTGTGGAATCTCCATGAGATTTCCAGGGAAGCTACCCAGACTGAACATGATCCAGGGAGAGGCAACCCCTATTGTCCTCTCCTAGCTTCCCAGCACCTCCACTCCATAGTGGCCTGCGTGTAGCAGCAAGCTGAAAGGACCAGAAATATCCTACAGGCTAAGAGTTACAGGATTTGTGTCATCACTAATCCCCAGTGGAAGCTTCTTGGAGGGTGGAATCAGCCTTCTGGGCAAAGACCCTAGAATATGGGGAACCAGGTCTCAATACTGGAGGAGAGCCCGTTACAGTGCCTCCTCCAGCACTGGAAACTATTTGGATACCCATATCCATGACCAAAAAGCAAATGATATATTACTGTAATACCATATGGCCCCAGTGTTCCCTACGGAATCAAGAGAGATGGTCTGAACATGAGTTACTTACATACATTAATACTACAATTCTCCAACTGGGACTTATTTTGTAAGAAACAAGGTAAATGGGATAAAATACCTTATGTATAATGTCTTATGGCCCTCTATCAACACCCAGCCCTACAGAAGAAATGCAGGATATGTAATCAGCCAAAGGATCAAAGGGAACAATGTTGCTAATTCTAGAAGCCCCTGGAGAGGAAGAATCAGTCACGTGGGGACTTGTAGGGAAGGGAATGAGGAGGAGCCTCTCTACTTCTCCTTCAAGAGAAGTGAGGTCCTCTAGTTCTACTCAAAAACTAGAACCTTTGCCAATACAGGGAAATAATCCCCTTACTTCCTCGGGAATTAAACTCTCAGCACCTCCAGGGGAAAGCAAGGGTCTTCCTCCATACTTGCCAGGCCCTCTGAACTATGTGGAGCTGGCTGTGGCTCCTGCTACGGCCCCAAAATAAACAACAAAAAATCAATATAAGACCAATATACGATAGAGAAAAATCAATAAAACCCAAAGTGGGTTATTTGACAATACTAGTGAAATTTATATACCCCTTGGAAAGAGTGATCAGGTAAAAATGACAGGAGGCAAAAATAATATCAGGAATAAAAACGGAACATCACTACAGATCCTAGAACGTCCAGACATTAAAAAGATAACAAAGGGCCAGGTGCGGGGGCTCATGCCTGTAAACCCAGCACTTTGGGAGGCCGAAGAGGGCTGATCACGAGGTCAGGAGATCGAGAACATCCTGACTAACACAGTGAAACCCTGTCTCCACTAAACATACAAAAAATTAGTCAGACGTGGTGGCGGATGTCTGTAGTCCCACCTACTCGGGAGGCTGAGGCAGGAGGATGGTGTGAACCTGGGAGGTGGAGCTTTCAGTGATCCGAGGTCGTGCCACTGCACTCCAGCCTGAGGGCGACAGAGCGAGACTCCGTCTCAAAAAAAAAAAAAAAAAAAGATAACAAAAGGATATTATAACATTGGATCATCAATTTGTAAATTTCTAGGAAATGAACAAATTACGTAAAAAACACAACTTACTAAACCTTGGCATAAAAGAAAAACTGAAATCTGAATAGTTATTGAAAAAAATGAATCCCACAAAAGAAAATCCAGGCCCAGATGGGTTTCACTGGTGAATTCTCCTAATTATTTAAGCAATAAATTACATTACATTCTTCTAGAGAATAAGAAAGAAAAACTTCATTCCAACTCATTTTATGAGGCGTGAGCCACTGTGCCTGGCTGACAAGTGGTAGTTTCTTAAAAATTAGTTGCAAGGTGGAATCTGAAAGCATGTCAGCAAACTTTTCCTATTCTGTTACATAAAAATCCATCAGTCTATCTTGTACTATTTGAATCTTCTATCTATTCCCTGATTTTGTAACAAAAAGCAACAATCATTTGGAAAATCCTGGTCCAGGGAGTTGTGCAGATCTTCCAAATGTTGACAAATGTATTTAGATAACATGAAAAACGTCACATTTGTTAATGTCACTGCTATCTCGTCAGAAAGGTCTAAGTACTAAGATGTCATCAAGCCCATGGTGGTGAATACAAGTTTTCTAGAATTCTATTGTTGGCTTGAAAACTCACATTTTCTTTGGCAACAGATACTGTCAGACATTTTCCTGAAGTCAGAGAGTCACTTCTTCATTTTCAAGAAAATGTCTGCTAAACACAAGTCAGAATAATTGGTTTTCTGTCAGTTACTCTTTCAATTAAAAGTCATGTTCCATGACAAAGGCAGCTGGTTCAGCTCACGACACAAACCATGGCATAAGTGCTTTTCCTTGAAACAGTCATCATCTTTCACGGTGCAAAGGAAGTGCTTCCCGTTTACCTCCATTTACACTGCTTCCTTGTTCTTCCATCACACTCCTGGCGGGAGGCTGTGCAGGATACAATGCCTATTAGACTAGTACGGTTTGGTGCCACCGTCTTGAATAGTGGTAAGACACCAATGGTTTTACTCCTCTCCCAGTACTCTTGCATCATCAGTGCAAATAGCCAACACAGCAAAAAAGGCACAGAACATCCTGGTGTCATTCTGAAATTAGTTTTGACCTTGCAAATTGCCTGAAAGGGTCTCAGCGACTTCCAGGACTCCACAGACCACTCTCTGAGAACCACTGGACTAAAGCATCCAAAGCATCCCTTTGGATTGCCTATAAAGACTGACTAGAAAGAGTAAAAACAAGATTTCAAGAGGAATGCTTAAAGTCCGTAAGATAAACTGTTTTAAAGTACCTTTACTTCAGAAGCATTATGCCAACTAAGAAACTATTCTCATTAAAGCAAGTCTCTAATGAACACCTAAAAAAGTCAACCTTAACTTATTCTCTGGCATTCCCATGATCAATATATCAATATCTGAAATGAATTAATTTTTTAAAATATTATTTATTATTTTTTAGATACAGAGTCTCAGTCTGTTACCCAGGCCAGAGCGTAATGGTGTGATCATAGCTCACTGCAGTCTCAAATTCCTGGGCTTAAGAGATTCTCTCACCTAAGACTCCTGAGTAGGTAGGATTACAGAAATGTACCACCACATCCAACACTCAAATGAATTAATTTATGAGTAACTAATGTTCGTTCCTCATGACACAACATTCAAAAAGTCAAAAAATCTACTACATCCTACATCAGTTCTCCTTTCCAAAGGCAATCAGTATTATCAGGTTTTTCTGTCTTCCAGAAATATTCTATGCATATAAAAGTATACACGTCTACATAGGCACAAATACTTACTTTTAAAGACCACAAATGGAAACAGTGTTGACATACTTCGAAAATTTAATTTTTTAAAAAAGTTTAACTTAATATGTTCTGGAGAACACTGTTCTTTCTCACCCTATGGGATCAATTCCAAGAAATGGGATTGCTAAGATAAAAGGTATAATAACCCAAATACATATTTAATTTTATTTTAAAATAATCTTTTTTTTTTGAGATGGAGTCTCGCTCTGTCACCCAGACTGGAGTGTAGTAGTGCCATCTAAGCTCACTGCAACCTCTGCCTCCCAGGTTCAAAGGATCCTCCCGGCTCAGCTTTCTGAGTGGTTGGGATTACAGGCGTGCACCACCACGCCCGGCTACTTTTTGTATTTTTAGTAGAGACGGGGTTTCACCATGTTGGCCAGGCTGGTCTCGAACTCCTGACCTCAAGTGATTTATCCACCTTGACCTCCCAAAGTGCTGGGATTACAGGCGTGAGCCACCGCACCTGGCCTAAAATATTCTTTATTTACATTTAGGTTAATAAAGAGGAGCCTAAGATATGCAAATTAATGAGAAGTTTTTCATCTTTTGCATATGAGTCATTCATACCATGATGTGCTACTTTTTTTTTCAGTGCCATAAGTGAGAAATGACTCTCACAACTTTCTCATAATGTTTAAATTTGAGCATAATGCCTTTATTCTGGGTGCAAGCCAGAGCTCCTGACCACTTGGTGGCCTGGTTAACACTTGTACACAAACTCTTGTTTTCTTGGTCTTACCGTTTGGACCTCTGAATCATTTCCTTCTTGCTGATAGGCTTGTTCTTCTGGACAGCCAGGAAGACTAAGGAAGAGAAGAAAGGGTTTTCAGTGGACAGTGACTTAACCCAGAGGGTGTGGTGCAAGAGCTGGGAGAGGGAGCTGCTAGGACTTGGTGCCCCTACCCTGAGCTGGCAAGACTGAGTGGGGAGCAATGACCAAGGCAAGCCAGGGTTAGACTAGGGTAACAGGACAGCAGCCTAAGGCCCTAAGGACCTAACACTCTGTAGCAAAGACTAGGCTTTGAATTAAAAAACTGGCCAGTTTCCAGGTAAGGCTTGATGAAAGAATTAGATAGTACTTTGTAGTTTTCACAGCTTTCATTATTTTATCAAGATCTGCTTACCATAATTGTTAAGAATGCAGACTCCAGAGCAGCACACCTGAGTATGTCACCTTGGGAGAGGTAGTTAATCTCCCTTTGATTCAGTTTTCTCACTATAAAGTAGATATATTAATAGTACCTACTGAGAGTGCTGTAAGCGCTAATGTGAACAGTGCCTGGGCAAGATGTAAGGACTATGTGTTTATTATTATCATTATTACCATCCTAAGAGGTAGGCAAGCCTGGAATCAGCCCCATCTTTTCAGGAAAAATCAATATACTTTTGGAACTAACTTGCTCACAGACAGAGCTGGTTTAAGATGCAGTGACAGGGCTAGAGTAACTGGGCTTACTTGGATCATGAATGTGCTGACGGCTAAGGTGGGGAGGTTCTGTTAGCTAAGAAGGTTTGAGTCTTGGCAAGCAAAAGGTTGCTGTCTGCCCAGGTAACTGGCCTGGGCTGGCCTTTAGCAGGGCTCTGCAGCACAGCAGCAGACCTTGCCTTCTCTATTCCACTCACAGGAAAGTGAACGGGCAGGGCGTACCTCTCTTGGGTAGTGGGCGCATGCGATTCTGGTGGCCCTGCCGTTCCCTGTCAATGTCGAATAGCGCATCCCGCTCGCTCTTTAACATGCTCTGCAGCTTTCTCTCCTGGACTATTAACTTCAGACGCTTTATCCGCTCCCCAATGTGGGAGATGAAGTCAGGTCTGTGAAACTGAAGCGATTCCTTAAAAAAAAAAAAAAAAAAGAGAGAGAGAGAGAAAATACCCAGCCTCAGATTAATGATGCAATCTACTCTCCATATGGCTGGAAACACACCACGTACCCAAGAGGTCTGGGGAAGCCTGATTCAAATGCCGAGAAAATACCTAGAGTTGAAGAAACCTCTGACACCTCTCTATGGCGGAGAGCTGCAGCTTGGAACCCACAGGGATCAAAGACATGCCTTCAGCATAGGCCAGGAACTAAGACTATGGCGATTACAACTCTCTGAAACATCAACGCAATACAGCTCTGCCCATGCTGCTATTTTAAAGATCTATTCAAACAAATACATCATTAATAACTTTTCCTTTATCCCCAGAGGGACACATCAGAAGAGACTTGGTTTCCTTTAAATCCGACATGGAGCAGAAACAGGAGCTGCGGACATGGAGGAACATGCATGAGGCTGCACAAGCATCAGGCCTCTGGGCCCTCCACACACAGGGACCCACAAACCCAATGAGCAGAGCCACAAATCCTCCCTCCTGTGCCCTTGTCTCCAGATCCTGACAGTGATGCACCATCTATGGCTAAGAGTAAGGCAGCCTTTGACAGATGATGAGAAACTCAGTCCTCACGTGTGAAAACAGGTGAACTGCGGAGGTGCTGGAAAAGAGCGTCTCAGGCCTACACCTCAGCTCGCCAAGTCACAGAGCCAGCTTCTCTGCGCCTTACCCTTCTTCTCCCTACATGTAGGGCTAAAGTTAAGTAAACGTCACTGCACCTGCAGGGTTGCTCTCACAAACAGCTTCAGTGGGTTTCTGCCATCCTCTCTGCCTGGGCCTGCCAGGTAGCCCCGACTGTCCAGGTGCTGCCCCTGCCAGTTCCGCTCCCACAGTGGCTCCCTCCACGGCTTGGTCTTGGTTACTGGTTCCAACCGGGAGATGCCAGGGTCATGAGTCTTGAGCATGTTTTCCTTCTTTTTATCTAGACTCCACATTTTCCACAGGAACAAACCAGGAAACTCCTACAGGAAATAGTTTTTAGAAGTAAAACAGAATTTTCACTTTTTACAGCCCCACCTGGCTTTCATCAAGGAGATGCATATAATACAGGCTCTCAGGGGTCTCAGCTGTCAGCGGCCACAGGGTGCCCTTGAGTTTGGTTTCACTGCAGGGATGACTGTGTAACTGCCATGCTGGACTTCGAAAATCTGACAAGGTGGTGACTGGGGGTAGGTGGGGGTCACATAGAATCACTTGGAAACACAGAGTCAGCATTGCAGGGGACTTGAAATTCACTAGTTTCTCTACTACAAGATCTGGAATGAGAAACTGACCTTCATGGGAATTCTTCTTGTTCTTTTTTAACTTTCTGTCCTCAGGATAACTGGTAAAGAGCATTTTCTCTTCATGTTTTTCTTCTGACCAAGAAGTCACATCACTGTCCTCTTCCAATTTAGCCTCGCTGGAACTTGGAGTTGGCTCGAGTGTGTTTTTCGGCACCGTTCACAATCTCCAAGTTACCTGAGGGGAAGGATCACAGGTGTCTCTGGGAGTAACCTTGAGGCTGAGTTGACAGGTTTATTCAAGTGAGTATGTGAACCTTTTTAATGTTTCAAAAATACAATCCCTTTGTGTGGGATGGAGTGATGGGAAGAGAGAGGAAAAGAAGGAAGGACAGGGGAGAGTAGGAGGGAAAAAGAGGGAGAAGAAAAAAGAAAGGGTTTTATTTGTAAGTCATTTTAGGTATGAGAGGGAAAGAAGAATGAATATGGGTTCAAAGGGTAAAGAATTTCCACCTGGATCCCAAGGCAGAAAGACAATAAATACTTAGAGTCCTTTTGGTAGTCACCCAGGTATGGAAGAGGTTGACAGAAGTAAAGACAGGATTTGAGGGGAAGAAACAAATCAAGAAAGTTTATTTATTTTTATTTTATGAAACCAAAAGTATAGAAAGGCAATAGCTAAAAATCCTCCTTCCCACTTCTGGTCTCCATTTACTCTGTTCACAACCCCATATGGTTCCAGAGAATTCATTTTGCACATTTAAGCAATTCTCTTCCCTCCTTTATTTCTTTTATTTAAAAAAACTCATATTGTAGTATGCCATACACTGTTCTGTACCTTTTCTTAAAATCAGTTATATGCCTTGGAGATCTTTCCACGTTAGTAAAGAGAGAGCTTCCTCATTCTATGTAGAATTTCATTCATTATCCAGATATACAATAATTTATGTAATCATTCAGCTATTGAGGAATACCTAAATTCATTTTAATCTTCTGCTATAAAAAACAATGTTTCAGTGGTTAATTTTGTACACTATTTTGCACATATGCAAGTATATCTATAGGTTAAAATCCACATATTCATAGTATATCTATAGCAGACATTTCAAAGGTAAAAATGCTGAGTGAAAGTAATTTTGACAGGACCTGTCAAATTGTCTTTCACAGTAAACCAACTTCTACTCCCACTGGAATATACAAGGGAACACACTTCCCTACACTCTTGCCCACAAACTTGCCATCACACTTGAATTTACGCCAATCTGATAAGATGAAAATTGGCAGTTGGATATAGTTTTAACTTCATGTCCTTTACTATGATTGAGGTTGAGTATCTTATATGTTTAAGAGCCATTTCAATGTATTTCAATGAAAAAGTTCAGATTCAAGTAATTACCTGCTTGTGTGCCCTTGTTTAACATGTGTACATTCTGCTTGTTGCAAAAAGTAGAGTTCGAGCTCAGGAAACTACTGGCAGAAGAGGAAATAGAGTCAGAAGAAATCACATGGTTTGCCACCTAGAAAAATAAAAGAGATCTTGTTATTATTACCTGCAGTCAATGTCACAGTTACCCACAGGATAAGCAAGCCAACAAGTCCTCTTTCTAATCCAATTCTAACTGTTGAGATGTATTTGGAGGAAGCTTGAGATAATGTGAACATGCTGCCTTGTATCTGTGTTGGGAGAATGTAGTAGTTGGATAGGACTTAAGCTGTTTGTTGTAAGGTGGTAAGACAAAAAAAGCCTGGCTATTTTCACTGGGCCTGGAAAAACTCTGAAGAGAATGCTAGCCAAACATTAGTCTGATGCATCTTCAGAAGGAAATTCTGAAGTGACACTTGCATATAATTTTCATGTGAGATAAGGAGGCCTGGAGATAGCTAAAAAAAGTGATGAACTTCAAAACCACCGGAGGGTTCCAAGATAGCTGAATAGGAATAGCTCCAGTCTACAGCTCACAGCATGAGGGATGCAGAAGATAGGTCATTTCTGCATTTCCAACCGAGGTACGAGGTTCATCTCAATGGGGCTTGTTGGACAGTGGGTGCAGCCCATGGAGTGTGAGCCGAAGCAGGGTGGGGCATCACCTCATCCGGGAAGTGCAAGTGGTAGGGGAATTCCCTTTACTAGCCAAGGGAAGCCGTGACAGATGGTACTTGGAAAATCAGGACACTCATACCCTAACACTGTACCTTTCCAACAGTCTAAGCAAACGGCACACCAGGAGATTATACCCCACGCCTGGCTTGGAGGGTCCCATGCCCACAGAGCCTCACTCACTGCTAGCACAGTAGTCTGAGATCAAACTGCAAGGTGGCAGCGAGGCTGGGGGAGGGGTGTCCGCCAGTGCTGAGGCTTGAGTAGGTAAACAAAGCAGCCGGAAAGCATGAATTGGGTGGAGCCCACCACAGCTCAACAAGGCCTGCCTGCCTCTGTAGACTCCACCTCTAGGGCAGGGCATAGCTGAACAAAAGGCAGCAGAAACTTCTGCAGTCTTAAACATCCCTGTCTGACAGCTTTGAAGGGAGTAGTGGTTCTCCCAGCATGGAGTTTGCCATCTGAGAACGGACAGACTGCCTCTTCAAGTGGGTCCCTGACACCCGAGTACCCTAACTGGGAGACATCTCCCATTAGGGGACAACTTGACACCTCATACAGCTGGGTGCCCCTCTGAGACAAAGCTTCCAGAGGAAGGATCAGGCTGCAACATTTGCTGTACTGCAATATTTGCTGTACTGCAGCCTCCGCTGGTGATACGCAGGTGAACAGGGTCAGGAGTGGAGCTCCAGCAAACTCCAACAGACCTGCAGCTGAGGGTCCTGACTGTTAGAAGGAAAACTAACAAACAGAAAGGACCTCCGCACCAAAACCCCATCTGTACATCACCATCGTCAAAGACCAAAGGTAGATAAAACCACAAACATGGGGAGAAACCAGAGCAGAACAGCTGAAAATTCTAAAAATCAGAGCACCTCTTCCCCTCCAAAGCAACAAAGCTGCTTTCCAGCAATGGAACAAAGCTGGATGGAGAATGACTTTGACGAGTTGACAGAAGTAAGCATCAGATGATTGGTAATAACAAACTTCTCTGAGCAAAAGGAGGATGTTCGAACCCATTGCAAAGAAGCTAAAAACCTTGAAAAAAGATTAGATGAATGGCTAACTAGAATAAACAGCATAGAGAAGACCTTAAATGACCTGATGGAGCTAAAAACCATGGCACGTGAACTATGTGAGAGATGCCCAAGCTTCAGTAGCTGATTCAATCAAGTGGAAGAAAGAGAATCAGTGATTGAAGATCAAATGAATGAAATGAAGTGAGAAGTTTAGAGAAAAAAGAGTAAAAAGAAATGAACAAAGCCTCCAAGAAATATGGGACTATGTGAAAAGACCAAATCTATGTCTGATTGGTGTACCTGAAAGTGATGAGGAGAATGGAACCAAGTTGGAAAACACTCTGCAGGATATTACCCAGGAGAACTTCCCCAGCCTAGCAAGGCAGGCCAACATTCAAATTCAGGAAATACAGAGAATGCCACAAAGATACTCCTCGAGAAAAGCAACTCCAAGACACATAATTGTCAGATTCACCAAAGCTGAAATGAAGGAAAAAATCTTAAGGGCAGCCAGACAGAAAGGTCAGGTTACCCACAAAGGGAAGCCCATCAGACTAACAACTGATCTCTCAGCAGAAACTCTACAAGCCAGAAAGGAGTGGGGGCCAATATTCAACATTCTTAAAGAAAAGAATTTTCAACCTAGAATTTCATATCCAGCCAAACTAAGCTTCATAAGTGAAGGAGAAATAAAATCCTTTACAGACAAACAAATGCTGAGAGATTTTCTCACCACCAGGCCTGTCTCACAAGAGCTCCTGAAGGAAGCACTAAATATGGAAAGGAACAACCGGTACCAGCCACTGCAAACGTATGCCAAATTGTAAAGAACATCAATGCTAGGAAGAAACTCCATCAACTAGCGAGCAAAATAACCAGCTAATATCATAATGACAGGATCAAATTCACACATAACAATATTAGCCTTAAATGTAAATGGCCTAAATGCTCCAATTGAAAGACACAGACTGGCAAATTGGATAAAGAGTCAAGACCCATCAGTATGCTGTATTCAGGAGACCCATCTCATGTGCACAGACACATATAGGCTCAAAATAAAGGCATGGAGGAAGAGCTACCAAGCAAATGGAAAACAAAAAAAGGCAGGGGTTGCAATCCTAGTCTCTGATAAAACAAACTTTAAACCAACAAAGATCAAAAGAGACAAAGAAGGCCATTACATGATGGTAAAAGAATCAATTAAACAAGAAGAGCTAACTATCCTAAATACATATGCACCCAATACAGGAGCACCCAGATTCATAAAGCAAGTCCTTAGAGACCTACAAAGAGACTTAGACTTCCACACAATAATAATTGGAGAATTTAACACCCCACTGTCAACATTAGACAGATCAACGAGACAGAAAGTTAACAAGGATATCCAGGAATTGAACTCAGCTCTGCACCAAGCAGACCTAATAGACATCTATAGAACTCTCCACCCCAAATCAACAGAATATACAGTCTTCTCAGCACCACATCGCACTTATTCCAAAATTGACCACATAGGTGGAAGTAAAGCACTCCTTAGCAAATGTAAAAGAACAGAAATGATAACAAACTGTCTCTCAGACCACAGTGCAACCCAATTAGAACTCAGGATTAAGAAGCTCACTCAAAACCGCTCAACTACATGGAAACTGAACAACCTGCTTCTGAAAGACTACTGGGTACATAACGAAATGAAGGCAGAAATAAAGATGTTCTTTGAAACCAATGAGAACAAAGACACAACATACCAGAATCTCTGGGACACATTTAAAGTAGTGTGTAGAGGGAAATTTATAGCACTAAATGCCCACAAGAGAAAGCAGGAAAGATCTAAAATTGACATCCTAATGTCACAGTTAAAAAAACTAGAGAAGCAACAGCAAATACATTCAAAAGCTAGCAGAAGGCAAGAAATAACTAAGATCAGAGCAGAACTGAAGGAGATAGAGACACAAAAAACCCTTCCAAAAATCAATGAATCCAGGAGCTGGTTTTTTGAAAAGATCAGCAAAATTGATAGACCGCTAGCAAGACTAATAAAGAAGAAAAGAGAGAAGAATCAAATAGATGCAATAAAAAATGATAAAGGGCATATCACCACCGATCCCACAGAAATACAAACTACCATCGGAGAATACTATAAACACCTCTATGTAAATAAACTAGAAAATCTAGAAGAGATGGATAAATTCCTGGACACATACACCCTCCCAAGACTAAACCAGGAAGAAGTTGAATCCTTGAATAGACCAATAACAGGCTCTGAAAATGAGGCAATAATTAATAGCCTATCAACCAAAAAAAGTCCAGGACCAGACAGATTCACAGTTGAATTCTATCAGAGGTACAAAGAGGAGCTGGTACCATTCCTTCTGAAACTATTCCAATCAACAGAAAAAGAGGGAATCCTCCCTAACTCATTTTACAAGGCCAGCATCATCCTGATACCTAGGCCTGGCAGAGACACAACAAAAAAAGAGAATTTTAGACCAATATCCCTGATGAACATTGATGCAAAAATCCTCAATAAAATACTGGAAAACTGAATCCAGCAGCACATCAAAAAGCTTATCCACCATGATCACATTGGCTTCATCCCTGGGATGCAAGGCTGGTTCAACATATGCAAATCAATAAATGTAATCCATCATATACACAGAACCAAAGACAAAAACCACATGATTATCTCAATATATGCAGAAAAGGCCTTCAACAAAATTCAACAGCCCTTCATGTTAAAAACTCCCAATAAACTAGGTATTGATGGGACATATCTCAAAATAATAAGAGCTGTTTATGGCAAACACACAGCCAATATCATACTGAATGGGCAAAAACTGGAAGCATTCCCTTTGAAAACTGGCACAAGACAGAGATGCCCTCTCACCACTCCTATTCAACACAGTGTTGGAAGTTCTGGCCAGGGCAATCAGGCAGGAGAAAGAAATAAAGGGTATTCAATTAGGAAAAGAGGAAGTCAAATTGTCCCTGTTTGCAGATGACATGATTGTAAATTTAGAAAACTCCATTGCCTCAGCCCCAAATCTCCTTAAGCTGATAAGCAACTTCAGCAAAGTCTCAGGATACAAAATCAATGTGCAAAAATCACAAGCGTTCCTATACACCAATAACAGACAAACAGAGAGCCAAATCATGAGCGAACTCCCATTCACAATTGCTTCAAAGAGAATAAAATACCTAGGAATCCAACTTACAAGGGATGTGAAGGACCTCTTCAAGGGGAACTACAAACCACTGCTCAATGAAATAGAAGAGGACACAAACAAATGGAAGAACATTCCATGCTCATGGATAGGAAGAATCAATATTGTGAAAATGGCCATACTGCCCAAGGTAATTTATAGATTCAATACCATCCCCATCAAGCTACCAACGACTTTCTTCGTAGAATTGGAAAAACCTACTTTAAAGTTCATATGGAATCAAAAAAGAGCCCGCATTGCCAAGACAATCCTAAGCCAAAAGAACAAAGCTGGAGGCATCACGCTACCTGACTTCAAACTATACTACAAGGCTACAGTAACCAAAATAGCATGGTACTGGTAACCAAAACAGAGATATAGACCAATGGAACAGAACAGAGCCCTCAGAAATAATGCCACACATCTACAACCATCTGACCTTTGACAAACCTGATAAAAACAAGAAATGGGGAAAGGATTCCCTATTTAATAAATGGTACTGGGAAAACTGGCTAGACATATATAGAAAGCTGAAACTGGATCCCTTCCTTACAGCTTATACAAAAATTAATTCAAGATGGATTAAAGACTTAAATGTCAGACTTACCACCATAAAAACTCTAGAAGAAAACCTAGGCAATACCATTCAGGACATGGGCATGGGCAAGGACTTCATGACTAAAACACCAAAAGCAATAACAACAAAAGACAAAATAGACAAATGGGATCTAATTAAACCAAAGAGCTTCTGCAGAGCAAAAGAAACCACCATCAGAGTGAACAGGCAACCTACAGAATGGGAGAAAATTTTTACAATCTACCCATCTGACAAAGGGCTAATATCCAGAATCTACAACGAACGTAAACAAATTTACAAGAAATAAATCAAACAACCCCATCAAAACTAGGCAATGGATATGAACAGACACTTCCCAAAAGAAGACATTTATGCAGCCAACAGACACATGAAAAAATGCTCATCATCACTGCCCATCAGAGAAATGCAAATCAAAACCACAATGAGATACCATCTCGCAACAGTTAGAATGGTGATCATTAAAAAGTCAGGAAACAACAGGTGCTGGAGAGGATATGGAGAAATAGGAACACTTTTACACTGTTGTTGGGACTGTAAATTAGTTCAACCATTGTGGAAGACAGTGTGGTGATTCCTCAAGGATCTAGAACTAGAAATACCATTTGACCCAGCCATCCCATTACTGGGTATATACCCAAAGGATTATAAATCATGCTACTATCAAGACACATGCACACGTATATTTATTGTGGCACTACTCACAATAGCAAAGACCTGGAACCAACCCAAATGTCCATCAATGACAGACTGGATTAAGAAAATGTGGCACATATAGACCATGGAATACTATGCAGTGATAAAAAAGGATGAGTTCACGTCCTTTGTAGAGACATGGATGAAGCTGGAAACCATCATTCTGAGCAAACTATCGCAAGGATAGAAAAACAAACACCTATGTCACTCATAGGTGGGAATTGAACAATGAGAACACTTGGACACAGGATGGGGAACATCACACAGTGGGGCCTGTTGTGGGGTGGGGGGAGGGGGGAAGGATAGCATTCGGAGATATACCTAATGTAAATGACCAGTTAATGGATGCAGCACACCAACATGGCACATGTATACATATGTAACAAACCTGCACGTTGTACACATGTACCCTAGAACTTAAAGTATAATAATAATAAAAAAGAAATATTTTAAATGATTTAAATATCTGTTATTAGGGAACTAATTAAACAGTATAAGTATACAATGGAACTCATAAAGCAATAAAAAAGACTACATAAATCTGTATTTCACACAGAAAGATGTCTATTATGATATATTAAATGAACAGTTTCAAAACAAACAAAAGTTGAAAATAAGACTTTCAAATCACCTGGTATAATTCCATTTTTTAAAATAAAACAAGGTATGTGAATCATAAAATATAAAACTGGAAGATTATATATAAAATGTTAATCAGGACTATTTCAGGATGGGGAGAATTACGGATGAATTACAAGGCCTTTTTATTTTCTATGTTGTTGAACTCTTTATATTTAACTATCCTTTTATCTTTATACTTAATAAAAGATTACATATTTGGTAATAAAGAGAAAGATGTAAGGCAGTAGAAACATCAACAGAAGCCATCCTGTCACACTTGTCCTCCCCAGTCCATGTGAGGAATGACTAAAGCATGGTTCCAGTGAAGAGGAAGCAGCCTATAGATACAGAGAAGCTGAGTAAATAGGAGAGAGAGAAACACTGAGAAAACAGGTGATGGATTTTAGGAAATAGACAGGTATAATGAATCTCCTCTTCCATGACTGAAATATACAAACAAACAAAACATGAAAAGAATCTTCAGAATCCAGAGAAGGGGCTCAACTCATATCACAAATTTAGAGCTAATACACAGTTCTTTCTCCACAAAGGATCATACATACAGAGGGTGAAAGGTGAGTCATTACATTCAAAATACCCTACGGATAGCCCACTTTTGACAGAAAAGGTGACTAAGGTAAGAGATAAACTTCTCAACTAGAGACATGCAACCCTGTTTAAAAAAGAAAACAGCATTTCTGCCCCAGCTTGAATGAAGATTAATCATATACTCCTTCTAGCCAGAAAGAAATCAGAAAAATGTCTAGAAAATTATCTCTTAGATCTGAATAGCTTAGCTGCATTATGAAGATTTGCTAGAAAAAAAATCAGGCCCAGCAATATTACTGTACACTAGGAAGCCACCAAAGCAGCCAACAGCCACCTTAAAGAAGTACAAAAGCAAAACCTCAAGGGCACGTCCCATAGAACTAGGTATTTCCCTTACCCTGCAATTGCTAAAGCAGCCATCAGTTTGTGAGTTTTAAAACAATCGCAGAGAAAAATGTCACTTCAGGAGGTTGCACAGAGTCCTAGAATCACCTACTCCCTCTCTGGCTTCTCCAAGCTCCAAGGAACAAAATTAATACAAACCACACACAATTACCAGTCATGTCCTGGGAAGGGGATTCAAACAGCAACTTATAAACATGTATAAGGCAGTTAAAGAGAATTCAACCACATTACTATGGGCAACTAAATGGTTTCCATAGTGAGTGAGAGCCCCTGGGGGATCTACACTTCCTGCGGGGACCTGTGCAATCCTGGGATGGGAGATTCCTCCTGACCCCCAGGCATATAGACTGATACAGGGAGCTGCCTGCCCAGAGTGTATAAGGAGGCAACACTCAAGTCCACAAGGGACCTCCATAGGCCTTGGACCCCAGAGCAGCCTGGTAGATGCACAAAACATCTTCCATGAAATCCAACACCCCTTCATGATAAAAACCCTTAACAGACAAGGCATTGAAGGAACACACCTCAAAATAATAAGAGCTTTCTATGACTAACATAGAGCCAACATCATACTGAATAGGCAGAAGTTGGAAGTATTCCCCTTGAGAACTGGAACAAGACAAGGATGCCCATTCTCACCACTTCTAGTACTGAAAGTCTGAGCCAGAGCAATTATGGAAGAGAAAGAAGTGAAAGGCATCCAAATAGGAAAACAAGATGTCAAACTATCTCTCTTTGCTGATGATATGAGTTACATAGAATACCCTAAAGACTCCACCAAAAGCCTCCTGGACCTGATGAACAAATTATTAAAGTTTCAGGATACAAAATCAGTAGCATTTCTCTACATCAGTAACGTTCTAGCTGAGAACCAAATGAAGAACACAATCCCATTTACAATAACCACAAAAAATGAAATACCTAATCAAGGAGGTGAAAGATCTCTACAAGGAGAACTATAAAACATTGCTGAATGAAATCAGAGATGACAAATAAATGGAAAAAAATTCCATGCTTATGGATGAGAAGAATCAATATTATTGTTAAAATGGCCACACTTCCCAAAGCAATTTACAGATTCAATGCTATCCCTATCAAAATAGCATATCATTTTTCACAGAATTAGAAAAATGTATTCTAAAATTCATTTGGAACCAAACAAGAACCCAAATAGTCAAAGCAATCCCAAGCAAAAACACCAAAGCCAAAGGCATCACATTACCCAACTTAAAACTCCACTGTAAGGCTACAGTAACCAAAACAGCATGGTACCGGTACAAAAACAGACAAATAGACCAATGGAACAGAGTAGAGAACTCAGAAATAAACCTGCACACCTACAACCATCTGACCTTCAAAAAATTGGCAAAAATAAGCAATGAAGAAAGAACTCTGTATTCAATAAATGGTGCTGGGATAACTGGCTAGCCATATGCAGAAGAAACTGGACCCTTACCTCTCACTATATTTAAAAAAATCAAGGTACATTAAAGATTTAAATGGAGGACCTCAAACTACAAAAATCCTAGCAGAAAACCTAGGAAATACCCTTCTCAATATTGGCTTTGGAAAATAGTTTATGGCTAAGTCCTGAATAGCAATTGTAACAAAATAAAAAAATTGATGATTGGTACCTAATTAAACCAAAGAGCTTCTGTACAGTAAAATAAATGATCAATCAAGAGACAACTCACAGAATGGGAGAAAATATTAGGAAATTATGCATCCAACAAATCTCTAATGTCCAGAATCTGTAAGGAAATGTAAAAATTTAAAAAGCAAAAATCAAATAATTCCATTTGTAAAAATGGGCAAAGGGGCTGGGCACGGTGGCTCACACCTGTAATCTCAGCACTTTGGGAGGCCAAGGTGGGAAGATCAATTGAGGCCAGGAGTTCAAGACCAGCCTGGCCAATATGGCGAAACCCCATCTCTACTAAAAATTTAAAAAATTAGCTGGCCAATATGGCGAAATCCCATCTCTACTAAAAATTTAAAAATTAGCTGTAATCCCAGCTACTCAGGAGGCTGAGGCACAAGAATTGCTTGAACCTGGGAGGCGGAGGTTGCAGTGAGCCAAGATCGTGCCACTGCACTACCGCCTAGGTGACAGAGTGAGACCCTTTCTCAAAAAAAAAAAAAAAAAAAAAAAAGTAGGGGGAGCAAAGAACAGGAAGACACTTCTCAAAAGCAGATGTACAAGCAGCTGACAAACATGAAAAAATGCTCAACATCACCATTCATCAGAGAAATACAAATCAAAACCACAATGAGATAACATCTCACACCAGTCAGAATTCTGATTATTAAAAAGTCAAAAAATAACAGATGCAGTCAAGGCTGCAGAGAAAAGGGAATGCTTATACACTGTTGGTAGGAATGCAAACTGGTTCAGCCATTGTATAAAGCAGTTGGGAGATTTCTCAAAGAACTGAAAAAGAACCACTGTTCAACCCAGCGATCCCACTACTGGGTATATATTCGAAGGAAAAGAATTCATTCTGTCAAAAAATCTCATGTACTCACATGCTCTTTCCCGCACTATTCATAATAGCAAAGACATGAAATCAACCTAGGTGGCCACCAACAGTGGATGGATAAAGAAAATGTAGTGTATATACACCACGAAATACCGTGCAGACATAAAAATAAAATAAAATCATGCCCTTTGCAGCAGCATGGATGGAGCTGGAGGCCATTATCCTAAGCCAATTAATGCAAGAACAGAAAACCAAATACTGCATGTTCTCACTTACAAGCGGGAGCTGAACACTGAATATACATAAAGATGAGAATAATACAAAGTGAGGACTTCTAGATGGGAGGAAAGGAGGAGGGAATGGGCTGAAAAACCACCGATTGGGTACTATGCTCACCACCTGGGTGATGGGATTATTTATACCCCAAACCTCAGTGTCAAGCAATATACCCATGTAATAAATGTGCACATGTGTCCTTTAATCTATAATAAAAATTGAAATTATTTTAAAAAGGAATTAGAAAAAGATGAGCTCTACGTAACTAAAGTTCTATGTAACTAAAACAAAAATAAGTAGAAGGAGGGAAATGCTAAATGTTAGAATGGAAATAAATAAAACAGAGATTAGGAAAATGCAAGAGAAAATTAAAGAAACCAAGTTTGGTCTTTGAAAACATCAACAAAAACTGAAATCTTTAGCTAGATTCACCAAGGAAAAACCGAAGACTCAAATCACTAAAATTAAGAATGGATGAGGGGATACTATGAACAATCATATACCAAGATATTAGACAACCTAGATTAAGTAGACAAATTTCTAGATAAAGAAATGATCAAAATCGATTCAAGAAGAAATAAAAAATCTCAGTAGGCTTATAATGAGAAAAGACTGAGTTAATAATCAGAAAACTTCTCCAAAAGTAAAGCTTGGACCAAGCTTCACTGATAAGTTCTGCCAAATATTTAAAGAAGAGGTAACACCAATTATTCACAATCTCATACAAAAAACATAATCAGAAGGATCACTTCTTGATTCCTTCTATGTAGGCCAGTATTATCCTGATATCAAAGGCAGACGAAGATATCACAGAACTGCAGACCAATATCCCTTGTGACTACAGATGTAAAATACTACAAAAATACTAGCTCACTGAATCCAAGAAGACAGAAACGGGATTACACATCAAAACCAAGTGGGATTTATCTCAGGAATGCAAGGTTGGTTTATCATATGAATAAATCAATATAATGCACCATATTAATAGAATAAAGGGAAAACATATAATCAGCTCAATAGAAATAGAAAAGGCTTCTGGCAAAATAAAAAACCCTTTCATGGTAAAAACACTCAACAAACTAGGAATGGAAGGGAACTTCCTCAACCTGTTAAAGGGCATCTACAAATAACTCATCCCTCATATTATGCTTAATGACTGTCAAGCTTTCCCTTTTAAGATTAGGAACAAGACAAGGACATCCATTCTTGCCACTTCTATTCAACATAGTTCTGGAGGTTCAAACAAAGGCAATCAGCAAAGAAAAAGAAAAAATAGCATAAGATTAGAAAGAAAAACCATCTCTATTTGAAGATGACATGGTATTCTATATAGAAAATCCTAAGGCACACATATACACACACAAATTATTAGAGCTGATAAACAAGTTCAGCAAGCTTGTACAATCTATGATCAATGTAAGAAAAATCAGTTGTATTTCTATACACTAGCAGTAAACAACCTAGAAATGAAATTAGGAAAACAAATTCATTTACAATGGCATTAGAAAGAAGAAAATATATAGAAATACATTTAATGACAGATGTGCCGAACTGCAAAGAAGTAAAAACTATAAACATTGTTGAAAGAAATGAAAGAAGACTTAACTAAATGGGAATAGATCCCATGTTCATAGATTAGAAGTCTTAATATTTTTAAGATGTCAGTACTCCCCAATTCCAACTATAGATTCAATGACATCCCTACCAAGATTCATGCTGCCTTTTATTTTTTTTCAGAGACTGGCAAGCTGATCTTAAAGTTCACAGAACCCATAAATAGCTAAAGCAATTTTATAAAAGAAAAACAAAGTTGGAGGACTCACACATCAAAATTTACCACAAGAACACCACAACAAGACGGTGTGGTGGTGGCATTTGCAGAGACATATGGATCAATGAAATAGAATTAAGAGTCTAGAAATAAACTCTTACATTTATGGTCAATTAATTTTTGGCAAAGGACCCCAGACAATTTAATGGAAGAAAGAATAGTCTCTGCAACAAATGGTGCGGGGTCAACTGGATATCCATATGCAAAAAATGAAACTGTATCCCCTGCCTCACATTACATACAAAAATTAGCTAAAAAATGATCATAGACCCTAATTTAAGAGCTAAAATTATAATACTCTTAGAAAAAAGCAAAGAAGTAAACTTTTTTTGTGTGTGATGTTGGGTTAGGCAATAGTTTTAAACACAACATGAAAAACACAAATGACAAAAGTAGATAAATTGGACTTTGTCAAAACTAAAAATTTTGTACTGCAAATGATACCATCGAAAGTGAAAAGCATCCCAAAGAATGGGAGACATGTTTTCAAATTACATAGTGAATAAGGGACTGCTGTTCAGAATATATGGAGAACACGTCGAACCCAATAATAAAAGAACAAAAATAAGCCAATTTAAACATGAGCATAGGATCTGAATAGAAATTTCTGCAAAGAAGATATTCAAATGGCTAATAGGCACTTAAAAAGGTGCTTCTCATTATTAGTCATTAGAGAAATGCAAATCAAAACCACAATGAGATGACACTTCACACTCATTAGGATGGTTATAATCAAAAATCAGAAAATAACAATTATTGACGAGGACGTGGAAATACTGAAACCCTAATATGATCCTGGTGGAAATATAACGCGGCACAGCCACTTTGGAAAACAGTTGGGGAGTTACTCAAAGGTTAAACAGAGAGTTACCATATGACCCAGCTGTTCTACTCCTACGTATATATCCAAGAGAACTGAAAAAATTATGTCCACACAAAAACG
The DNA here is from genome assembly GCF_000001405.40 of Homo sapiens. Lineage (NCBI taxonomy): Eukaryota > Metazoa > Chordata > Mammalia > Primates > Hominidae > Homo > Homo sapiens. The sequence continues at coordinate 327,334 of NW_025791766.1, read as the reverse complement.
TGTACACAATCTATAACAATTTATAACAGCATTATTTGTGAAAGTAAAAAAGTACAAACAACCCAAGTATCCATCCATTCATGAATATATAAATAAAATGTTGTAAATCCACGTAACGGATTTTATTCTGCAAACCAAAAAATGAAGTACTGATATACGCTACAACCTTAAAAATATCATGTTAAGTCAAAGAAGCTAGATACAAAAAGCCACATATTTTACAATTCCATTTATGTGGAATGTCTCATATAGGCAAACCCATAGAGACAGAAAGTAGATTAGTGGTTGCCAGGGCGAGGCGGGGGTGCAAGAACAAGGGTAATGGGAGGTAACTGCTAATGGGCACACGGTTTCTTTTTGGGGAGACAAAAATGTTCAGGAATTAGGGGTGAAGGATGTATAACTTTCTGAATATACAAAAACATGCTGAATTATATACTAAAAAAGAATTGTATGGAATGTGAATTTTATCTCAATTAATAAAAAAACAGAGCTTGACCTACATTGAGACATACCCTAGAAAAGTAACTAGACTTAAAATCTTTTTTTTTTATTTTGTTCAATTTTTTTTTAATTATACTTTAAGTTTTAGGGTACATGTGCACATTGTGCAGGTTAGTTACATATGTATACATGTGCCATGCTGGTGCGCTGCACCCACTAACTCGTCATCTAGCATTAGGTATATCTCCCAATGCTACCCCTCCCCCCTCCCCCCACCCCACAACAGTCCCCAGAGTGTGATATTCCCCTTCCTGTGTCCATGTGATCTCATTGTTCAATTCCCACCTATGAGTGAGAATATGCGGTGTTTGGTTTCTTGTTCTTGCGATAGTTTACTGAGAATGATGATTTCCAATTTCATCCATGTCCCTAAAAAGGACATGAACTCATCATTTTTTATGGCTGCATAGTATAAAATCTTAAAAACCTACAAGAATCCACGAATAAGTAAAGCTAGTCAATGTAGTAATACTACTACAATGAGCTGACACAAAATCCACAAAATATAACCATTATTGGTTAGTTGGGGGAATGTCTGTATGTGGGGGCACAGGTGGGGAGAAGTGCAGTCACTTTCTTAATTTTTCATATGATAGAGTCAACAGATACTGTTTCGTGTCTGAGAGTGATAGATTGAGAAAGTGGTTGAAGGATATTAGTTAATTAGATTACATGGCCGCTAAGTTATCAGAAAAACAGCTCAAAGAAACATATATTATGGCCGGGCATGGTGGCTCACGCCTGTAATCCCAGCACTTTGGGAGGCTGAGGCAGGCAGATCACGAGGTCAGGAGTTCAAGACCAGCCTGACCACCATGGTGAAACCCCATCTCTACTAAAAATACAAAAATTAGCCGGGCATGGTGGCACATGCCTGTAATCCCAGCTACTCAGGAGGCTGAGGCAAGAGAATAGCTTGAACCCGGGAGGTGGAGGTTGCAGTGAGCCAAGATCATGCCCCTGTACTCCAGCCTGGGTAACAGAGCGAGACTCAATCTCCAAAAATAAAATAAAATAAGAAGCATATATTACATAGTAATGAACAAAAAAGATTGGAAATGGCAAGAAATCAGTAAAAATCATAAGACATCCTGAACAGCCAAAACAATTTTGAAAGAGAACAACAATGTTGGAGGACTCACATTTCCTGATTTTAAAACATATTACTGGCTGGGCACGGCGTCTCAGACCTGTAATCTCAGGACTTCTGGAGACCAAGACTGGGGGATCACTTGAGCCCAGAAATTTGATATCAGACTGGGAAACACAGTGAGACCCCATCTCTACAAAAAACAAACAAACCAAAATAATCAACAACAACCGAAAACCCAAACATATTACCAAAGGTGCAATAATCAAAATAGTGTGATAGTAGCATAAAGACAGACGAATAGACCAACGAAATATGATAAAGTGCCTACAAATAAACTCTCACATATGGTCAAATGATTTTTTTTTTTTTTTTGAGGCAAGGTCTTGCTCTGTCGCCCAGGCTGGAGTGCAGTGGCACGATCTTGGCTCTCTGCAACCTCTGCCTCCTGGGTTCAAGTGATTCTCCTGTCTCAGCCTCCTGAGTAGCTAGGACTACAGATGTGCGCCACCACACCCAGCTAATTTTTTGTATTTTTAGTAGAGACAGGGTTTCACCATGTTGGCCAGGCTGGTCTTGAACTCCTTACCTCAGGTGATCCACCCACCTCGGCCTCCCAAATTGCTGGGATTACAGGTGTGAGCCACTGTCCCTGGCCAAAATGATTTTTGACAAGGGTGCCAAGACCACTCAATGGGAAAAGAACAGATTTTTCACAAATGATGCTTGGAAACCTGGACATTCACATGCAAAAGAATGAAGTTGGACTCTAGTCTTATGTAAAAAAATTAACTCAAAATGGATTAAAGACCTATGTGTAAGGCCTAAAACTATCAAAGTCTTGGAAGAAAACATAGAGGAAAGGCTTTGTGACATTGAATATGGCAGTGCTTTCTTGAATATGACACCAAAAGCACAGGCAACAAAAGCAAAAATAGACAAATGGGACCACCAGGCTTAAGTTGTGCCTCAGGGGATGCATTCAACAGAGTAAAAGACAACCTACGGATTGGGAGAAAATATTTGCAACTCATGATTCTGATATACAGAATACACAAATAACTCTCAGAATTCAACAATGACAACAAAATCAATAACCTGACCAAAAATGGGCAAAGGAATTGAATAGACATTTCTCCAAAGTTGATATACAAATGGCCAACAAGCATGTGAAAAGATGCTCTATATCGCCAATCATCAGAGCAATGCAAATCAAAACAACAATGAAATATCACCTCACACCCACTAGGACGGTCATTATAAAAAAAAAAGAAAATAACAAGTATTGGTGAGGATGTAGATAAAATGGGTCTCATGTGTGCTGTTGGTGGCAATGTAAAATGGCACAACTGCTCTGGAAATCAGTATTGAGATTCCTCCAAAGGTGAAACTTAGAACTACCATTTGATTCAGTAATCCCTCTTCTGAGTATGTCTCCAAAAGCACAGTAAGCAGGGACTTAAAAAGCTAACAGCATACCCATGCTCACAGCAGCACAACTCACAATAGGCAAATGTGGAAGCAACACAGATGCCCATCCACTGAGGAATGGATACATAAATGTGGCACACACAACCCACGGAAAATTATCCTGACTTAAAAAGGGAGGAAATCCTGTCACATGCTACAACATGGATGAATCTTAAGGATCTTATGCTAAGTGAAATGAGTCAGTCACTAAAGGGTAGATATTTTATTTCTCTTATCACACAAAATCAGGAATTAAAAGATATTTCTTATCTTCCAAACTTGGTATCGACAAATTCACAGAGACAGAAAGTAGAATGGTGGTTACCAGAAGCTGGGGGAGGAGGACAAGGGAAGTTGTTATTCAATGGGTATAGAGTTTCAGGTTTGCAATATTCAAATGTTCTGGAGATCTGTCTCACAACAATGTGAATATATTTAACATTACTGACCTGTACACTTAAGAATGCTTAAGATGGTAAACTTTATGTTAGGTGTTTTTTACTCCTTCCCACCGTTTGAAATGGAATTTAGTTTAACAAACATTAACTTAATAAGTTTACCAGAAAAGGAAAAAAAAACAAAAAGGGAAATGATAAAATTTAAACCAAACATATTTGTTACAACAATGAACTTAAGTTGAACTCACTTCAAAAAAAGACCTTCAAATTGGGTGGGGGAAAAAAGTTAAATTCAAGTAGGTGCTACTTCCACTTGAGTGAAGTGACTCAGAAAAGCCAAAAGTAAAAGGATGGACAAAGAGCAATGGTACAAATCCACATTTAATAAAACTGTATTGGATGAAGTAGAATAAAAGGCAAAACATATTCAAAATGTAAAATAAAAGTTACTTTATATGATTTATGGTATGATTCACAGTGAAAAAAGTGTCATTAATATTCATGTCATTAATATTTATGTGCCGAAAATAAAAATATATATAACCAGGCCGGGTGCTGTGGCTCATGCCTGTAATCTCAGCACTTTGGGAAGCCGAGGTGGGTGGAACGCTTGAGGTCAGGAGTTTGAGACCATCCTGGCCAACATGGTGAAACCCCATCTCTACTAAAAATACAAAACTTAGCCGGGTGTGGTGGTGCACACCTATAGTCCAAGATACTCAGGAGGCTGTGGCAGGAGAATCGTTTGAATCCAGGAGGCAGAGGTTGCAGTAAGTCGAGATCACGCCACTGCCCTCCAACCTGGGTGACAGAGGCAGATTCCTTCTCAAAAAAAAAAAAAAAAAAAAAAAAAAAAAATATATATATATATATATATATAAAACCATTCAATTAACAAAAGCTATATTCAATTAACTTAAAATATACTCTTTGAAGTTCTCGACAGATTAAGAAAATCAATATTCAGGAAGAATATAATTTAATTAATAAAATGATTTAATAGATGTATATTAAGAAATGCATTGTTAGGTGATTTCATTGTTGTGTGAACATCACAGCGTATGCTTACTCAAACCTAGATGGTACAGCCTACTACACATCTAGGCTATAAGGTATAGCCTATTGCTCCTAGGCTACAAACCTGTACAGCATGTTACTCTACTGACTATTGTAGGTAATTTTAACACAGTGGTAAGTATTTGTGTATCTAAAATATCTACATAAAGAAAAGGTGTAGGAAAAATATACTATTTTAATCTCATGGGACTGCTATCATTTATATGTTCTGTGGCTGACTGAAATGTTGTGTGGAATCTGACAGTGACTGGAATGTCATACTCTATTTGGAAACTCTACCTTCTTTAAAACACCCATGGATTACTTATATTTAGCCACAAAGAAAATCTCTATGTATCCTTAAAACACAAATAGAACACAGTACAATCTCTAATCACAATACATTAAAATTATAACTTAATAAGTAGTGACAATAAATCCAACATGGAATTAGCAAAAAAAAAACTCTTATATGTCTTTTGAATTAAATAGAAAATCCAAAGCTACAGTTACATAACATCTAGAAAGTAATACCAATAAGAATACTAATAGGTACTAATATACTGGGTATATACACCTGATTTCCACTTCCATATCTAGAAAACTGGATACTATATTGCTCCCCGCCTTATGGTAAGACAACAACAATGGCAAAGGGGTAGAAATGGCAAGTTCTTAACTTTTCTGAAAGCCAGCAGCAAGTTGAGGAGTGGAGGGAAGAGAGCGTGAGGCAGGCTTGGTATTGATTGTGCCTTGGCCCCAGGCCTGCTCTAAGGGCAGCCTGCTCTGCCCAGGTCCTTTCAGGTTCCAACAACTCTCCCTCCTCCTCAGGGCTATGGGTTCCTGTGCCATCCTTGTTGCTCCCCTCTACCCATCTACACTTTCATAATTAGTCCTTTGATTACCTATATCTACGAAGCTACTTGAAATGTTGGGACCTGATATCTTCTGTAGAGAATTTGTTAAAAGGTTAGGTTAAAGAACGTGTCCTCTCTGAAGAGCTAGGACCACCATCCTCGGATTTCTGGACATCTAACCAAGGATGACCTATCTGTCTACTTTCATTCTGCTTCATATGATAAGTCCAGGGCACTGATCTGATGTTGGGTTATTGATGAGAGATTGGGGGAGATGATATCCTTTCCAGGAGCCTATGTTAAATGAGTCTGAATCGATTTTTCTCTTCCTCTGAGACTCCCAGAATGTATTGGCCCTGGATTGTCCACCTTCCGCCTCACTGGCCCCTTTCCAGGCTGGGCTGGTCCAGTGGAGGAGTGATCTTCCCGGATGCAGGCATGGGGTGGCACTGACACGCTGCTCTGAAACCTGACAGCTCTGGGAATAACAGTGACTCCAACAATACAATGATTTATTATAATCAGGTTCATAGAGGCAATAGAAAGACAAAATAGTTTATCAGGGTAGTTGAACTGTTAATTTCTAGTCTAATTAACTATGATAAGTTAATTATTAAGTAAGCAACAAATGGCAGCAATACAAGTGCTTAATGAGAAATGCAAAGGCTTCCAAGGAGGGAGGGACTGGGACCAGATTCATCTGGTTGGGTGGTCAGAAGTGGACGGAGCAGGTAGCACTAAACTGGATCTTGAAGAAGGAACAGAGCCTTAGTCACATATGGGAATTTGGTCAAGGGTGTCCTGACCACTGGCAACAGGATGGGGGTGATGGGGCCTTACTGGTGAATCTTATGCGCCTCCACACAGAGCTGCTTCTCTGGGCTTGTGAGGCTTTATGTGAATTTCAGACTCACTAAACACTTGTCAAATCCCTGCCTGCAGGGTCAGCATGCTGTACTGAAAAAGTAAAACAGTGCAGGCTTTGGAGTCAGAGCTACCTTAGGTTTGAGCTTTCACTTCCCATATGGGGCCGTGGAGAGGAAACCTCAGGTTTCTGGACCTCAGTTTCCCATTTGCCAAATGGGGATGTTAATAATACCAACCTTAGCTCCAAGGCTGTTAACATGAAATTGCACAACATGGGAAGCCCTCTTTCTCACAGTGCTGGGCATCTAATAACTTCTTGGTAAAAAAACAGCTATTGCTTCTTCCCTTTATGTTCTAGGCAGTAGTGCTGAGGCAGGCAGTGGAGTAAAATAAGGTTCACTGCTGGTGGGAAAGTAAACTACAGCTGACACTTTGGAAGACAGTTTGGCATTTCCTCAAAATGTTAAACAGGATTAAAATATGAACCAGCAATTTTGCTCCTAGGTATACATCGAAAGAATTGATAATAGGTATTCAAATAACTGCTTGTACCTGAATGTTCACAGCAGCACCATTCACAATAACCAAAACGTAGAAACAACCTTAATGTCCATCAATGAATGAATGGATAAACAAAGTGCAGTATAAACATACATGGAATATTATTGAGCCCTAAAAAGGAATGAAGTACTGATGCATGATGCAATACGAATGAATTTTGAAAACATCAGCTGAAAGAAGCCACACATAAAAGGTCAGATATTGTACAATTCCATTTATATGAAGTATCCACAATAAATAAATCCATAGAGACAGAAAGCAGATTAGGTTGCCAGGGACTGGGGAGAGAGGGAAATAAGGGGGAACCACTTAATGAATAAGGAATTTCCTTTTGCGGTGATAAAAATGATTTGGAACAAGAAAGGGGTGGTCGTTGCACAATATTGTGAATGTACTAAATGCCACTGAATTGTGCACATTAATAGGATTAATTGAAATAATAAAATAAAACCGAACACGGGTCTTACCTTTAGGAGCTCACAATCATAACTGAGTCCCTTTAGACTCCCAAGATTCAGTTTCACTGTCTGAAAGCAGGGCCAAGTGCCTAGAATGTGCAAAGACCTTCAGAGTTTATCTTTTATGCAGAGAATCCCCCACAATTCCTCTTTTCAGAGGTAACTGCTACCAACATTTGGTGGAACCACTCAGACTTTTCTCTCTGCATGCTTGTTTGTGGATATCATTTTTCAATACCATTTTTCCAAAAATAAATCCAAACATATTGTTTTATAATCTTTTCTTGCTTGGTGCTATAGTTGGGCAATGTTTTTCATGTCAGTAAACCCTCATCAGCATTGGTCATGGCTGTGAGGTACTGTGCTACAGAAATAGAGCAGGATTTATTCAGCCAGTCCCCTCTTGTTGCACTTTCGGTTGCTTCTATGACAATAAACTTTACAGTGATAAACATCCTTATGCAAACATCTTTGCACATTTGACCAGTTACTTTCTTGAGCTCTAACCCTAGAAGTTGAATTTCGATCAAGTCTTTTCAAAGGACTTTGAGGTCGAGCAGGGTGGCTCACTCCTGAAATCTCAGTGCTTTGGGAGGCTGAGGTGGGAAGACTGCTTGAGCCCAAGGATTAGGGACCAGCCTGGGCAATATAGCAGGACCCCGTCTCTAAAAAAAACTTTTTTTTTAATTAGCCAGATGTGGTGGTGGGTGCCTGTAGGCCCAGCTACTTGAGAGGAGGACAAGGGCCGAGGCTCACTTGAACCTGTAAGCTTGAGGTTACAGTGAGTTATGACTCTGCCACTGCGCTCTGGCCTGAGCAATGGAGCGAGACTCTGTTTTGATTTAAAAAAAGGATTTTGACATGCTGTGTAATGATTCTCCAGCATGGATCTCCCATTTCAGTATTCCGTCAAAAGTGTGTGTGTCTGCACATTTCTTTGTGCTTGTCCTATATTAGCTCATACCATTCTTTTAATTCTTTACAATGATAGGTAAAACCTGGATATTAATTTGATTTTTATTTATTTGATTTCTAGTGAGTTTTTTTGTATATTCTTTTTTGCACAGTTTTAAAATATATTCATAAACCATATTTGCTTCTTCTTTAAAAAATTCTCCATTCTTATCCGGAGTCCATTCTATCCATTTGGCATTTTTTTCCTATTAATTATTAGGAAGGAAATATGAACTTTTCTGTTTTGAGGAAAACTTCCATTTGAGGAACACTCAAAATGAAAGCTTGAAAAAGAACCATCAAAGAGGGAAAGACAGACCAGGAGAGAAGGGGATAGGAAATGAAGAGCCATGTGTTAAAGCAGCTGGGTGGCTGCTGGACCCAGAAGCCTCCTCAGTTGACATTATTTGCCTGACTCTTAGTTGCTCTGCTAGGAGCCAGTCTCTTGCACATCTCTGCTCTGATCTTATTTCCCTTACATCTAAGCTCTTGGACTGACTCCAGTGCCTTAGTTCATACGGTCTGTTATAACACAATTATCATAAACTGGTAAACACTTTACATTTAGCTTGTAAACAGAAATTTATTTCTCATAGCTCTGAAGGCTGGGAATCCAAGATCAAAGTGCCAGTAGATTTATGTCTGGTGAGGACCTGTTCCTCATAAATGGCGGTTTTTGTGTATCCTCATATGGCGGAAGGGGCAAACAAGCTCCTTTGGGTCTTTCTGTAAGGGCACTGATCCCATAGGTGAAGACTTCATCCTCACGACCTAATCACCTCCCAAGATCCCACCTCTGAATACCATCACCTTGGGGATGAGGTTTCAGCATAGGAGTTTAGGGGGGACATATTCAGACCATAGCACCCAGGTACCGCAAGCAGCTTTATGAATGCAGGAACTCCCTTAGCGTTCAGCATGTTTGAGGACTATAAAGCATTACTGGTACTTGGCAGTTAGGAAACCCCTGGTGATCTTACCAAGGGTGGTTTTAGAGGGTCCGTGGAGCCAGCAGCCAGCAGTGAGGAGTGGAAATGAGGGGGCTCTATGTGGAGGTCAGACTGCTCTTCTGGGCTTACTGTGAGTGACAGCACCACTTGGAGGTAATGGAGGTGAAAGAGCTGCACTGGCCACCTTTGGAGTGGAGCCTGGGGACAGTGTGAGTGAGTCTTCCCTCCAATTAGCAGCTTCCTTCCTGTGCATGTCCGAGTGTAAGGGGTGCTTTCTATGGGGTATAGAAGAATGCTGGGTTATAGATAAGGATGGAGTGTTGGGCAGTTCCAAGATGAGCGAATAGGAACAGCTCCAGTCTACAGTTCCCAGCATAAGCGACGCAGAAGACGGGTGATTTCTGCATTTCCAACTGAGGTACCAGGTTCATCTCACTGGGACTTGTCAGACAGTGGGTGCAGGACAGTGGGTGCAGCCCACTGAGCATGAGCCGAAGCAGGGCAAGGCATCGCCTCACCCAGGAAGTGCAAGGGGTCAGGGAATTCCCTTTCCTAGCCAAGGGAAGCTGTAACAGACAGCACCTGGAAAATCAGATCACTTCCACCCCAATACTGCGCTTTTCCAATGGTCTTAGCAAACACTACACCAGGAGATTATATCCCGCGCCTGGCTTGGAGGGTCCCACGCCCACAGTGCCTCGCTTTTTGCTAGCACAGCAGTCTGAGATCGAACTGCAAGGTGGCAGCGAGGCTGGGAGAGGGGCGCCCATCATTGCTGAGGCTTGAGTAGGTAAACAAAGCAGCCAGGAAGCACGAACTGGGTGGAGCCTACCGCAGCTCAAGGAGGCCTGCCTGCCTCTGTAGACTCCACCACTGGGGGCAGGGCATAGCTGAACAAAAGGCAGCAGAAACCTCTGCAGACTTAAATGTCCCTGTCTGACAGCTTTGAAGAGAGTAGTGGTTCTCCCAGCATGGAGTTTGAGATCTGAGAATGGACAGACTGCCTCCTCAAGTGGGTCCCTGACCCCCGAGTACCCTAACTGGGAGGCATCCCCCAGGAGGGGCAGACTGACACCTCGCACGGCTGGGTACCCCTCGGAGACAAAGCTTCCAGAGGAATGATCAGGCAGCAACATTTGCTGTTCAGCAATATTCCCTGTTCTGCAGCCTCCGCTGCTGATACCCAGACAAACAGGGTCTGGAGTGGAGCTCCAGCAAACTCCAACAGACCTGCAGCTGAGGGTCCTGACTGTTAGAAGGAAAACTAACAAACAGAAAGGACCTCCACACCAAAACCCCATCTGTACATCACCATCATCAAAGACCAAATGTAGATAAAACCACAAAGATGGGGAGAAACCAGAGCAGAAAAGCTAAAAATTCTAACAATCAGAGCGCCTCTCCCGCTCCAAAGGAACACACCTCCTTGCCAGCAACGGAACAAAGCTGGACAGAGAATGACTTTGACGAGTTGAGACAAGAAGGCTTCAGACAATCAAACTTTTCGAAGCTAAAGCAGAAAGTTCAAACCCATCGCAAAGAAGCTAAAAAGTTTGAAAAAAGATTAGACGAATGGCTAACTAGAATAACCAGGGTAGAGAAGTCCTTAAATGACCTGATGGAGCTGAAAACCATGGCATGAGAACTATGTGATAAATGCACAAGCCTCAGTAGCCAATTCGATCAACTGGAAGAAAGGGTATCAGTGATTGAAGATCAAATGAATGAAATGAAGCGAGAAGAGAAGTTTAGAGAAAAAAGAGTAAAAAGAAACAAACAAAGCCTCCAAGAAATATGAGACTATGTGAAAAGACCAAATCTACATCTAATTTGTGTACCTGAAAGTGATGAGGAGAATGGAACCAAGTTGGAAAATACTCTGCAGGATATTATCCAGGAGAACTTCCCCAACCTAGCAAGGCAGGCCAACATTCAAATTCAGGAAATACAGAGAACGCCACAAAGATACTCCTCGAGAAGAGCAACTCCAAGACACATAATTGTCAGATTCACCAAAGTTGAAATGAAGGACAAAATGTTAAGGGCAGCCAGAGAGAAAGGTCGGGTTACCCACAAAGGGAAGCCCATCAGACTAACAGCTGATCTCTTGGCAGAAACTCCAATCCAGAAGAGAGTGGGGGCCAGTATTCAACATTCTTAAAGAAAAGAATTTTCAACCCAGAATTTCATATCCAGCCAAACTAAGCTTCGTAAGTGAAGGAGAAATAAAATTCTTTACAGACAAGCAAATGCTGAGAGATTTTGTCACCACCATGCCTGCCCTACAAGAGCTCCTGAAGGAAGCACTAAACCTGGAAGGGAACAACCGGTACCAGCCACTGCAAAAACATGCCAAATTGTAAAGACCGTCGATGCTAGGAAGAAACTTCATCAACTAATGAGCAAAATAACCAGCTAACATCATAATGACAGGATCAAATTCACACATAACAATATTAACCTTAAATGTAAATGGGCTGAATGCTCCAATTAAAAGACACAGACTGGCAAATTGGATAAAGAGTCAAGACCCATCAGTGTGACCATCAGGAGACCCATTACACGTGCAGAGACACACACAGGCTCAAAACAAAGGGATGGAGGAAGATCTACCAAGCAAATGGAAAACAAAAAAAGGCAGGGGTTGCAATCCTAGTCTCTGATAAAACAGACTTTAAACCAACAAAGATCAAAAGAGACAAAGAAGGCCATTACATAAAGGTAAAGGGATCAATTCAACAAGAAGAGCTCACTATCCTAAATACATATGCACCCAATACAGGAGCACCCAGATTCATAAAGCAAGTCCTTAGAGACCTACAAAGAGACTTAAACTCCCACCACAATAATAATGGGAGACTTTAACACCCCACTGTCAACTTTAGACAGATCAACGAGACAGAAAGTTAACAAGGCTATCCAGGAATTGAACTCAGCTCTGCACCAAGCAGACCTAATAGACATCTACAGAAGTCTCCACCCCAAATCAACAGAATATACATTCTTCTCAGCACCACATCGCACTTATTCCAAAATTGACCACATAGGTGGAAGTAAAGCACTCCTCAGCAAATGTAAAAGAACAGAAATTACAACAAACTGTCTCTCAGACCACATTGCAGTCAAACTAGAACTCAGGATTAAGAAACTCACTCAAAACCACTCAGCTACATGGAAACTGAACCTGCTCCTGAATGACTACTGGGTACATAATGAAATGAAGGCAGAAATAAAGATGTTCTTTGAAACCAATGAGAACAAAGACCAGAATCTCTGGGACACATTTAAAGCAGTGTGTAGAGGGAAATTTATAGCACTAAATGCCCACAAAAGAAACTCCATCATCCCAGCCCAAAAATCTCGTTAAGCTGACAAGCAAATTCAGCAAAGTCTCAGGATACAAAATCAATGTGCAAAAATCACAAGTACACCAATAAAAGACAGAGAGCCAAATCATGAGTGAACTCCCATTCACAATTGCTTCAAAGAGAATAAAATACCTAGGAATCCAACTCACAAGGGATGTGAAGGACGTCTTCAAGGAGAACTAAGTCCTAACTGTCAAGTTCACCTTCCTAACAAAGTTATTCCGGATGTGATGTCTCCACCATCGTCCTGGTCCCAGAGCCCCATCAGGTGTGTCCTCCTGGGCAGCAGCCTCGCTTCTGACATCTGGTGCCTTCATGCCAAGTCCAGGCACAGCACATAACAAGCCTTCGGCCACTGTTTGTTGAATGAATAAATGAATCTTTCAGGTCCGACAAGGAAAGCCCAGGCTTTTATCAGGAAAGCTACAAAAATGCAGAAGTCACAGTAAATCCTGGGAGCAAGAGACGCCTGAATGTCAAGTGAGGTCGCTGTGTTTTGAGGAAGCCACAGCCACGGGTGAGCATGGAGGGAGAGACAGCACACAGGGACGGAGCACAAACCTCTCCCCCTCCACGTGACCGGCAGGTTTCTGACTGAATATTGGTTAGACTCACACTAGAAGTACTCAGTGGTGCTTTGGAGCCACCGCTCACCTCTTTTGATTCCTAGGCCAACTCCTGCTTGACACTGAAATGTTGCGAGAACACTCTAAAGATGAGCCATGGACTTCCTGCCCAGACTTGATGCTCCTTAGACTTTTCCTCGGAGGTGGTGTTGGGTACCAAAGATCTGGAATCTCAGCAGCCTCCACTGGCTGGCCCTGGGTTCCTGCTGCTGACTCCCAGCTTCTGGTTTCTGCTGAAGAAGGCTGCAGGGCAGCACCTTTAGGGGAAGCCTTGACTTTTCCAGATCTGGGCTCTCTCCAGTGTTTTCCTGAATGCCCCTACCAGAAGCCTGGCTGTCGTCTCTGAGCCCTTCCTCATCCTCCTCCCTGTGTGAATCATTCCAACTCCTGCCATTTCTGCCCCAAATGCACCTCCATACGGCTCATGTCTCACCTTCTTGACTTCCTCCCTCTGGTGAAGCCACTGCTGTCTCATGGGCCTCTGCTAACCCAGGCGGCTTCTTTGTGAACCCAGAGCTAGGCACAGCCTCAAGCCATGCAGCCCACTGGATGCAGAGTTTAGCAGGCAAGCAACGCCTTTGAGCAAATAAGAAAAGGTTGCCTTTTCCTTTGGCCAGTCTCAGTTTCGTGCCATGGCTCATGGCTTGGCAACCAGAGGGAGGCCCAGTTTTAGCTCCCACCAGAGCCTCTGGGCCAGCTGCTCTTGTACAGTGAGCACCTGCATCCCTGTACTGGAGGCCCCGCTCTTGCCTGGATGTGGCATGAGCCTTGAGGGGTAGCTGCTTCCATTCCTACCTCCTCAGATCCATTGTCCACCTGCAGCCAGAGTGATGCTTGCGTGCGCACACACACACACACACACACCTCCTCCCCTCCGTGCATATCAATGTCCTCCCCTTGCTCTTGGAATAGAGTCCAAACTACCTAACCTAGATGACGGGCCCAGCGTGGCTGATCATCAATAGGTTAGCTAATCTTTGGAAGGGAAGTTTCCCTTCAATAGCATGTAAGTTGGTGTGGAAAAGGGCTTTTTCTGTTAGGTTTTGCTTTTGCCTATCTTGTATATGTTGCATCCTTGTAATTGGGCCCCTTGAGATTTCAGCACCACACCATGTTTTAGTGACTGAAATAATGAACATTCTGATCAGACCGTTGCTGGCTTGCACATGTTAACCACTTGCTTTTGGTCCAATATTCCTTGTTCCCACAACATAATGATAAACTGCTCATGTACTGTTTCTTTGTTCAGCAGGAAGACATTCCTTCAGGGTCAGGAAAAGTTTGCAGAATGAATGAATGCCTTGAAGGACACTGTGACCAGCTGCTGACACTGAGAAGCCTGGTTGCACAAGGTGTTATCTCAGACTGAGGAAACACAGACTTTTCCTCTCAATCCCCCTGAACTCCCCCTTCCTCACTCTCTAGCTGCATAAAAACATTCTGCTGCTGCTTCTTTGTTGAACTGAAGTTGAGAGATCTTGCTCTCCTGCCTTCTTGCTTTGGCCAAATCGAATACAACTTTCTCTATCTCCAAGCACCCATGTGTCAGTGTTTGGGATCAGCTCCACGTCGGGTACAAGAGCATGAATTTGGGCCTCCCCAACATCTGCAGTGCAAAATATTTAACAACGGGTGTGGCACAGCCTCTGACCAACAGCCAGAACACACACAAGCCACACACAGCCATGCCTGTCAAGCCGAATGTCAACCTTGCTCATGGCTGAAATGACCCCAGGACACAGGAAGTGCATGACACACAACTGTTGACTGAATCAATGAATGGGTGGAGATGGGGGTTGGTGAGGTGAGTGCAAGGAACTGCCAACAACAGATGCTTCGTGGACCAGGGAAACCTCAGCGAGGAGAAGCCTAGCTGGGAAGGGCCTTGTTGCCAAGCATGGGGACTCGGCTTCTGGCCAATGGTGACTGATTGCAGGGTGAATGGTACAGTTCTCAGGCTCGTCGTATATGTGTACAAGGACCAGGGTGGATCGTATATGTGGACAGGGACCGAGAGTACTAAGTGTGCCAGGTGGCAGAGAGATGCACGGGGCCTGAACAGGCAAGAGAGGTGGCAGGCCTTCCAGAAGGGCAAGGAACCCAGGCGGTTCCAGACCCTGAGTCTCCCCCTCCAGGTCGTTCCCTTTGACCACAAAGAGGAATGCACACTGGGCTCCCTGCTGTGTTACAGCCCAGCTCTTTGACCCTAGGGTTGATGATTACCAAACATTCAGGAGCCAAGCAATAAGGCAGGCAGTCTACTTTCCAGGGGTGAGCAAGCCCCAGACGGTATCTCCTGGATGCCAGTGAGCGGCTGAGAGCTGAAGCTCCCTGGACACTCAAGGCTCTTGTGGTGACAGGTGAGGGGACTGGGTGGAAGGACAGTGCTCTGAGCATGCACCTTCCTTGGGATCTGGAGGCTGGGCTGTTTTTTATGCTTGGCTCTTATGCCACTTCAGCAACCTAAAAACTTACAATAAAGCTGGAGGGAGCCTTTCCTGAAACTTGTGTTGGACAGAGAATTTTTGCGATGTATGGTCCCTGGAGAAGGACAAAAGGGTTGCACGTGTGGCCTGCCTGAGGTAGGTGCCCCCTCAATGCACGGAGAAGCTGAGAGAGCCAGAAAAAGGAAACAGAAAAAGGAAGAGCGGTGGGTAGTTCATCTACCAGGGCTTTATAGAAGGCATCTTATTCAATCTTCAAAACAACTCTAGAAGGCAGGTTTTCTTCTCCCCTGTTCTATAGTTGAAGAAATGGAGGCTCAGAGAGGTTAAGTGACATGCCTAAGGTCACACAGCTAGAAAGGGATGGAACCAGATTCCAATGCAGGTCTTTCTGACCCTACCTTCTCCCAGTGGCAGAGGCCTGCTTCCTCATGGGCAAACGCGGAAAGACACACCCTTGAGCAGGTCTCCCTGTTCCTGCAAGGCTGGGAGCCATGCAGGCACTCACATGATTTTCTCTCTCTTCCCCAGTCTGACGTAAAGGCGTGCAGGGAGGCCTAGCTCTGTCTCCTGGACTTAGAGATTTCAGACACAGAAGTCTGTCCATGGCTCCTTGTCACATCCGCAAATACCAGGAGAGCGACCGCCAGTGGGTTGTGGGCTTGCTCTCCCGGGGGATGGCCGAGCATGCCCCAGCCACCTTCCGGCAATTGCTGAAGCTGCCTCGAACCCTCATACTCTTACTTGGGGGGCCCCTCGCCCTACTCCTGGTCTCTGGATCCTGGCTTCTAGCCCTCGTGTTCAGCATCAGCCTCTTCCCTGCCCTGTGGTTCCTTGCCAAAAAACCCTGGACGGAGTATGTGGACATGACATTGTGCACAGACATGTCTGACATTACCAAATCCTACCTGAGTGAGCGTGGCTCCTGCTTCTGGGTGGCTGAGTCTGAAGAGAAGGTGGTGGGCATGGTAGGAGCTCTGCCTGTTGATGATCCCACCTTGAGGGAGAAGCGGTTGCAGCTGTTTCATCTCTTTGTGGACAGTGAGCACCGTCGTCAGGGGATAGCAAAAGCCCTGGTCAGGACTGTCCTCCAGTTTGCCCGGGACCAGGGCTACAGTGAAGTTATCCTGGACACCGGCACCATCCAGCTCTCTGCTATGGCCCTCTACCAGAGCATGGGCTTCAAGAAGACGGGCCAGTCCTTCTTCTGTGTGTGGGCCAGGCTAGTGGCTCTTCATACAGTTCATTTCATCTACCACCTCCCTTCTTCTAAGGTAGGGAGTCTGTGATCTCTTTCTGTGTGTATTGGTCAGAATAGAATCCATTCAGCTGTAGCAGCAAGCAATCCCCAACCTTTCACTGCAATGACCTTTCAATGCAATAAAAGCTTATTGTCCATTCACATCTGAGTCCCATGTGATTGCTTGTGGGGTAGCTTCTGGGTTTCTGCTTCATTCAGTCTTTTTGATTCCCATCTGTTTCATTTTTCTAGTGCCAGCATAATGTTGCATAAGAACAACCACCAAATGAAACAAATATTTATTTAGTTCATGAGTCTGAAGTCAGCAATTTTGCCTGAGCTTGGCTGGGCAGTTCCTCTGGTGTCAGACTGCATTGTACAAATGCAGTGGGATTGGCTGAAAGACTAGGTCAATGGTGCTGTTTCGTTTTCCCACAGGCTACCTCAGGCATGGTTTCAAGGAAATTGCAGAGGAGCAAAAACAAAAGCAGAAACAAACAAATGTGTTTTCAAACCCCTGCATGTGTTGCATCTTCCCCAAACTCAAGGAGAGGAACCTGTCTCTGCAGTGAGAAGGGCTGCAAAGTCACATAGCAAAAGGGTGGAATGCAGCCTCGGGAGAAGAATTGGGGCCAGAGACACAACCAATCCACTCTAACTCCAGGGTCTCTGCAGAGGGAAGAAGGTGGCCTCAGAGGGGAGTGTGGGATTTACCATGGGCTAGACCTGGAAGTAGTATAACTCTTCCAGGGGATCATAACAGAATACCTGAGACTGGGTAATTTATAAGGAAAAGAGGTGTATTTGGTTCATGGTTTTGCAGGCTGTACAAAAAGCACAGTGCAGGCATCTGCTTCTGGTGAGGGCCTCAGGAATCTTTTACTCATGTTGGAAGCTGAAGGGGGAGCAGATGTGTCACATGGCGAGACAGCACACAAGAGAGATGCTAGGTGCTTTCAAACAACCAGCTTACATGTGAACTAATAGAGCCAGAACTCATTCATTATCATGGACAAAGCACCAACCCATTCATGAGGAATCCACCCCTATGAGCGAAACACCTCCCACTATGCCCCACCTCTAACATTGGGGGTCATATTTCAACATATGATTTGGAGAGAACAAACATCTAAACTATATTGGTCTGCCCCTTACCCCCAAATCTCATGTCATCTCACATTGCAAAATGAAACCATCCCTTCCTGATAGTTCTCCAATGTCTCAGCTTGTTCCAGCATCAACTCAGAAGTCCAGAATCCATAGTTTCATCTGAGCCTCAAGGCAAATTCCTTCCACCTATGAGGCTGTTATATCAAAAACAAGTTACATACTTCCAAGATATAATTGTGTTACAGGTATTGGGTAGGCATTCCCATTCCAAAAGGGAGAAGTTGGCCAAAAGAAAGAGGCAAGAGGCCCCACACATGTCTGAAACCCAGCAGGGCAAACACTAAATCTGAAACTTCCAAAATCATCTTCCGTAACTCCATACTGGTGAGTGGAGTGGCCTTTCAAGGCCTTGAGCAGCCCTGTCTCTATGGCTTTGCTGGGTGCAGCCCACATGGCTGCTCTCACAGGTTGGGATTGAATGCCTGTGGGTCTTCCACGCTGAGGTTGCAAGCTGCTGGTGACTCTACCTTTCTGCTGTCTGGAGGGCATTGGCCCCATTCCCACAGCTCCACTAGGCAATGTCCCAGTGGGGACTCTGTATGGGGTTCCAACCCTATGTTTTCCCATGGCTCTGTCCTTGTAGAGGTTCTCTGTGGGTTTCTGCCCCTGTGGCAGGCTTCTGTCAGGGCACCCAGACTTTTTGATACATCCTCTGAAATCTAGGTGGAAGCTCCCAAGCCTCCTTCACTCTTGCGTTCTGCAAGCCTGCAGACCTAAAACCATATGGAAGGCTGGGCATGGTGGCTCACACATGTAATTCCAGTACTCTGGGAGGCTGACACACGTGGATCACCTGAGGTCAGGAGTTGCAGACCAGCCTGACCAACACTGTGAAACCCCATCTCTACTAAAAATACAAAATTAGCTGGGCATGATGGTGCATGCCTGCAATCCCAGATACTTGGGATACTGAGGCAGCAGAATCGCTTGAACCCTGGAGTCAGAGGTTGCAGTGAGTCAAGATCGCACCGTTACATTCCAGACTGGGTGACATGGCAAGATTGTCTCAAAAAAAGAAAAAAAAACAACCATATGGAAGCTCCCAAGGCTTAGGGCTTGTACCCTCCAAAGAAGTGGTCTGAGCTGCACCGGGGGCCCTTTGAGCCAAAGCTGGAGCTGGAGAAGCTAGGATGTGGGAAGTAGCATCCTGAGGTGACATACAGCAATGGTGCCCTGGGCCTGGTCTCTGAAACCATTCAGTCCTCCTAGGCCTGTGGGCCTGTGATAGGAGAGGCCTTCTGAAATGCCTCTGAGGCCTTTTCCCACTGTCTTGAATATTAGCACCTGGCTCCCTTTTAGATATGCTAATGTCTCTAGCAAATAGTTGCTCAGCAGGCTGCTTGGATTCCTCCTTGTCTATCACATGGCCAGGCTGCAAGTTTTCTAAATATTTACACCCTCTTTCCATTTTAATTATAAGTGCTGTTAAAAGAAATCCATTAGACAAATTACATTTCACAGAGTTTAACTGAGCAAGAAAAATGAATAATTTGCAAATCGGGCAGCCCTCAGAATCACAGCAGATACAGACAGACACCAGGGATGCTGTGCTGTCAAAGCAAATTTGTGGACAGAAAAAGGAAAGTGACATACAGAAAATGGAAGTGAGGTACAGAAACAGCCAGATTGTTTACAGCTTGGTGTTTACCTTATCTGAGCATGATTCGAATAGTTGGCTGCCTGTGAGTGGTTGAAATATGGCCAGTGGGATTGGCTGAGACTCAGCTATTGCTAAAGAAGCATCCTCCTAAGTTAAGTTTTCAGTCTGCCTACCTACTAACTACGTTACGGTTCGCCCTTAAGAACTCAAATATGGGAATGTGAAGGCGTCCTCAGGCCAGATTTGAGTTTCATTTATCAACTCCCCCCTTTTGGTCAGACTCTCAATTTAGAGAGATAGACCGAAACTTTAGGCATTGATGCCACCCTCTCACTATTGTAATTTGGCTCAGTATGGAATTCACAAGTCTTTTTAGTCTCAGTATGGAGTTCACAAGTCTTTTTTTTTTTTTTTTTTCTGAGTCAAAGTCTCGCTTTGTCACCAGGCTGGAGTGCAGTGGCATGATCTTGGCTTACTGTAGCTCCGCCTCCTGGGTTCACGCCATTCTCCTGCCTCAGCCTCCCAAGTAGCTGGGACTACAGGTGCCCATCACCACGCTCAGCTAATTTTTCTGTATATTTTTAGTAGAGACGGGGTTTCACCATGTTAGCCAGGATGGTCTTGATCTCCTGACCTCATGATCCGCCCGCCTTGGCCTCTAAAAGTGTGGGATTACAGGCGTGAGCAACCATGCCCAGCCAGTTCACAAGTCTTTACTGGTGTCACTATGAAGTTCACAAGTCACAGCTTCACACTAGGTGAATGATTCTCTATGTTCTTGCTGACCTAGTCAAAGTGAGACCATTCAATTCTCAATGTATGGCTGCATACAAAACATTTAAGACTTGAGAGGATGCAGCACACTAGGGAACTATTATTATGACTATCAAGAGAATAATATCAAAATACCAAGATGCACTCCTTAACAAGTGTTCTTATTAAATAAATGAAACCAACTTAAACCAGTCAAAGTTCAGGCAACATAGGCAGTTCAACAACAGTAAAGTTTAATTGGTCATAGTTCTTGTTTGAAATGTGGTAGCAATTAAGGATCATAGTTCACTGTAAAGTGGCCTGATTTAAAGATGTAGCCATTTTCATTGTTGCTCTGGTAACACAAGCCATACTAACCTGGACACCTACTAGAAGACATATAAAGACTAGAAACCTTTGGGAAACCCAAGCTTGCCATCCACCATTTAGGATGCCTACAAACCAACTGTTAGTTGCTCCTGTAAACACACCATGTTTTCCTCTTGAGAGACTTCTTTATTGTATTTGGTGTCAGTGTCTAAGGAAACAGCAGTATCAGCCACCTTTACATTAAGCTTTCTGTAGTAACAAAATCAGGAGAGAGATAACTGCAGCATTCTATTTTGTTCAACACCAAACACAGGCCCCAGCTTGAGTAAAAAGGAGATATGAAGCTGTATGATGTTCCATTAACTGTAACATCTACCTCTTGTTTTTTTTTTTTTTTTTTTTTCTTGAGACAGGGTCTTGCTCTGTCACCCAGGCTGGAGTGCAGTGGGGTGATCTCAGCTCACTGCAACCTGTGACTCCTGGGTTCAAGCAATTCTCCTGCCTCAGCCTCCCAAGTAGCTGGGACTACAGGCACGTGCCACCATGCCTGGCTAATTTTTTGTACTTAGTAGAGACAGGGTTTCACCATGGTGGGCAGGCTGGTCTCGAACTCCTGACCTCAGGCGATCCACCTGCCTTGGCCTCCCAAAGTGCTGGGATTACAGGCATGAGCCATTGCACCAGGCCACATCTACCTTTTGGAGAGTAGTGTCTACCTGTCTGAAACACTGGGATGTTTGATTGGCTATAAAATCCAAGACCCCACATATGGATTAGCTTTGGATTCCATACAACTAGTATCCCACTACCACCAAGAGTGAGCCCCCAGGAACCCCACTGGAATCTTTCCTCAGTGGAAACTAGCTTATCTTTGTCTATTTCAAAGCTAGTGCTAATTTCAGTTATTGACTATTTTGGCCTCCAATCATAAGAGCTGTTAGGAGAATTTTTAGGTGAAACTATTTGAAAGGCAGGAGTGAGCCAGACCAAATAGCAAGATCTGAGCCAACGAAGAGGCAGAATGAAATATGCAGATTATCCACAGACCCAAAATAGGTCCTTGGGAGTTGAAAAACAGGGCTACCTAGTTGCATTTGAGCAGGGTTCAGTTAGATTTGTTCATTAATAAATCTGCATAGCTGCTGAACAAAATCCATTGAGAAATTGACCTTTTTGTGCCCCTCTTATAGCATGTTGTAAGGGTATATAAAACATTTGGTAAAAAGAGACCCTGTTGAATTTAATCTGGTGACATTATACAAGCAATTACTTGTACTCACATAGGTAAATCCCAAATCTTGAGTACATGATGCCTGAAAGCACAATATATCTTTTGCAGTCATCACTTGGATTGGTTTTCTATACTTTGGTAATGATCAGGTTATTAATTGAAACAGTTAAGGCAGGGTGTGGTGGCTCACGCCTGTAATCCCAGAACTTTGGGAAACCAAGGCTGGCAGATCACTTGAGGCCAGGAGGTTCAAGACAAGCCTGGCCAGCATAGCAAAACCCTGTCTCTACAAAAAATTCAAAAATCAGCTGGATGCGGTGGTGCACGCCTGTAGTCCCAGCTACTTGGGTGGCTGAGGCAGGAGAATCCCTTGAACCTGGGAGGTGGAGGCTGCAGTGAGCCAAGATCAGGCCACTGCACTCCAACCTTGGCAACAGAGTGAGACTGTCTCAAAAAAAGAAAAAAAAAAAAAAAGGAAAAGTTAAAGTGTTCTTTTTAGTGAGTGCAGGAAAGCAAGTAGCAGTGGTGTTCAGAATATCAAGGATAGCTTTCCATCCTTCCCTTGGAATTTTGGGGTGACTCTCATTGGGAACATGGAGAGGCACTGGCATTAGTGGAATTGTTTCCTTATATTTTTTTGGCAATAAACAACAAACCCAATAATCCACAAACTCTGGTTCTGTGCTACAGCAGATGCTCAAGCTAAAGGCATCCACTGGTTATGGTCCCATGGATTTTTCTGTAGGGAAAAAGAAAGAATTAGGGCAACAGGAAATGAGGAGAAAAGAAAAAAATGTAAGGCTTTCATGATGATACAGAAGTCTTCATCTGTGATCTTGGGAAAGCTGTCCACAACTAGAATGTCATCTGCTCTGGAGATTTTTCCTTAGACAGCTTTACCTTAAAGTCTCTAGCAGATGTACAGTTCCAGGAGTCTGAAGAGGTCCTTTTGAGTTGTGAGGTGTGGACCCAAGTTTCAAGGCCCTGAAGCTTCACTGCAGTGTAGGTGTTGAGAAGAACTCGGCACAGTCCCTTCCAAAGAGTTGTCAAGAGCAGCCTTCCTCTGATGTCATTTCCAGAAGACAGAATCTCCAGGTTCTAGACTGTGGAAGGTTTGATTATCCTCAATTGGTGGATCTTGAAAAGCTTCCTTTATCTGGTGAAAGCACACTTGGTATAATGGCCTTGCAGTACTTACTTATATCAGAATTTCAGAGAGAGAAAGATGCAAGAGGTTTTACTACTGGGGCATAGGCCTTCTAGTGACTATTTCATAAGGGGTCCACTTCTGTTTTTTAGTGAGTGGATCTGACTGCCATTAAATCCAATGATAGTACCTTTGGCCAAGGCAACCCAACTGATTCAGTTAACTTTGCCAATTTCAGTTTTAATATGTCATTTGTTTTTTCAACCTTTTCAGAAGACTGAGTGTGCTAGGGATAATGGTAGTACCATTGTGTCCATAAAACCTTGTTTAACTGCTTTATAACTTGCCTAATAAAATGAATTCCCCCATTGCTGGGGATTTTTCCAGGGATGCTCCATAAAGAAAACACATTTTCTAATATTTTCTTAGCTACTGTCACAGCATCAGCTTTCCTACACAGGAAGGCCTCTAACCAACCAGAAAACATGGAAACTATTACAAGAACATACTGAGACCCACATTGAAGGTGGCAACTGAATGAAGTCCATGTATAATTGTTCAAATGGTC
Organism: Homo sapiens; assembly: GCF_000001405.40. Classification (NCBI taxonomy): domain Eukaryota; kingdom Metazoa; phylum Chordata; class Mammalia; order Primates; family Hominidae; genus Homo; species Homo sapiens. Next base: position 303,692 of record NW_025791766.1, on the reverse strand, counting down.
CATTAGGTGTTGAAAATACAATACACCACCTGAATCTTTCGTTTTTCCAGGACTATGGGTTTGACTAGCCAACATTGGTTATAAAATATTCTAGCAGGCTGGGTGCAGTGGCTCATACCTGTAATCCCAGCACTTTGGGAGGCCGAGGCAGGTGGATCATGAGGTCAGGAGATCGAGACCATCCTGGCTAACATGGTGAAACCCCATATCTACTAAAAATAAAAAAAATTAGCCAGGCGTGGTGGCATATACCTGTAGTCCCAGCTACTCGGGAGACTGAGGCAGGAGAATCACTTGAACCAGGAAGGTGGAGGGTGCAGTGAGCCACGATCGCACGACTGCACTCCACCCTGGGTGACAGAGTGAGACCCCATCTCAAAAAAAAAAAAATATTCTAGCAATTTTGGAACAGTCATCCCACAAGTATTTTTTCACAACTTGGATGAATTTTTCTGTTCCATGATGAGTTGTGGAGTTCAAAGCTTTTGACAATGGAAGCTTCAAAGACTCGGGAAAGACCAGGCAGCCATCTAGGCCCTCTGCAAGTTTGCACTTAACATTGAATTTATATCCTTTTAGATACCAGTTTTGTTTTTCCAAATGAGGTGCATTGCATTCTTTATTAAATAGGTCATTGTAAGGTAGTTGGCTTGGATTAATCTTACGAAGTTCGTTCATGTTGCATATCTGAACAGTTTCAGTACTAGCTGATTTAGCATAAATATCTGCTAAGCATTCCCTTGATATTCAGGTTCAGTTCTGCAGGTATGAGCTTCGATCAATAACAGCAATCTAGTGGTTTATCTAATTGGAGTCCTTTTTTGATGGTGATCCCACTAGAAGTGAGAAACCCTTAGAGTTTCCCTATCATGCCAAAATCATGTACTACTCCTAAAGCGTATCTACTATCTGTCTAAACACTTACCGGTTTGTCTTTAGCTATATGACAAGCTCGGGTGAGGGCAAAAATCTTCGAGGGTTAAGCTGACTTATAGAGCTTAGACTAATAGAGCTGACTAATAGAGGAAGGATTCCCTTCTCTATTAACTCATTTTGGTAACAGCATATCCTAGCTGATATTTTCCTTCTGAGCTTTTGGCATAGGACCCATCAACAAAAGTATTAGCTCAGGATTGTCCAATGGACTAACTTGTAAATCAACATGAGGGGCCACTATTTCTGATGCTACACTTATGCAATTGTGGTCTTCACCATCATCAGGCAGCAGTAATACAGGGGCATGGTTAAGTAAATTGCAGTGTTTTAGATAGAGATTAGAGGGAGACAGAGCATTTCATAAGATGTTAGTCTACTTACTAAAAAATGCTGGGTTTGGGTGGAATTTAGCATGTGGGACTTCCATATTAAGTTCATTTCCTAAAACCACATCAGCTGAAGCTTCTTTCAGCCTGGTTGCTGCTGCTACTGCTTTTAAACAGTTAGGATATACCTTAGCTACTGGGTCTAATTGCAGGCTATAATATGCAATGGGCCTATGTTTCTCCCCATGTTCCTGGGTAAGAACTCCTAAATGCCTGATTATTACTTTCATAAGCCAATTAGGTAAACAGTTTAGTGCAATTTGGAAGTCCTAAAGCTGGAGGCTGTTATAAGGCCAATTTTATTTAGCTAAAAGCTTGCTCATGACTATCATCCCAAGGTAAAGGCTCTGGTACAGCATTTTTTAGTGAGCTCATACAACGGTGAGGCTATTAAGGAAAAATTCAGAACCCAGGAATTTTATATCCTGCAAGTGTAAGAATATATCCTGCAAGTCCAAGAAAATATCCTGCAAGTCCAAGAAAATATCCTGCAAGTCCAAGAAAATATCCTGCAAGTCCAAGAAAACCTCTTAATTATCTTTTGGTTGCAGGCCAAGGAAAATTTTGAAGAGTTTTTAACTTTTTAGGTGAGAGGGAAACACCATCAAATAATGTCCCAAATAATGGACTTTTTCCCCTTGAAAACTGAAGTTTTTCTACTGAAGCTTTGTGACCTTGATGTGTGAGTTGTGTAAAAGGTAAACTGAGTCCATTTCAGAGTACTCTTTAGTGGGAGAGCATACAGTAAGTCATCCACGTACTGAATGAGAGTAGAATTTTGAGGAAACTATAATGTCATTAAGTCCTGATGCAATGCCTGGGAAAACACAAAGAGGCTTCGGTAAACCCTTGCAGCATCACAATCTGGGGGTACTGTTGACTTTTCCAAGTGAAGGCAAATAAGCATAGACTCTCCTTATAAACTGGATTGTAAAAAAAGGCTGAGCAGAGAACTAATATTGTGAACCACTTAAGAATCAGCATGTATCTTGGATAATGAAGTATTAGGATTTGGAACTATAGGAAACCTTGCTACTACAATTTTGTTAACTGCCCATAAATCTTGAACAAATCTTCAACCTCATCCATTTGGTTTATTTTAACCAGTAGGATTGGAGGGTTATAAGGGCTGGTGCATAGAATTATAAGTCCCTGTCTAATGAAATCTTTTACAATTGGCAAGAGCCCTTGAATTGCTTCTAGTTTTAGTGGATATTGGGTACTTTAGGCAAAAGTTTAGAGTGGTCTATTTGGAGGTTAATAGGTGACACACTTTAAATTCTTCCTGTATCAGTTGAGGAAGAGGCCCATAAATATTTAGGTATTTTTGGAAGATCAGGCATTACAGGCCTGAGTTTCGATCCTATTAATATCTGCCTATAGAGAACATAACAATTCTGGTTCAGGAGAATCAGGAAACTGATTCTTATTCCAAGGAAAATTTTACACCCTCCCCACTTTTAAAAATTTTTTATTTTAAAAAATTTCAATAGTTTTGGGAGTACAGGTGGTTTTTGGTTACATGGACAAGTTCTTTACTGCTGATTTCTGAGATTTTAGTGTGCCCATTTCCCAAGCAGTTTACAATGTACCCAATAGGTAGTCTTCTATGCCCTTTCAGCTTTGAAAGTAAATCTCCCTCTAGCAAATTTACTGGAGCACTATCACATAGTACAACAGTGTGATTTTTTGAAAAATGCCCCAAAGTCAATTGGACGGGTTCAGATATGGGAAACTCTTGAATTTGATTTGAAACCCCAACCACAGAAATAGCCTTTTTAACTCTGAGGGATCTGTTGGCTTATGAAAGTGTGTTTTATGGTAGTGGCAGATAAGGTAGCTCTGGTATCCACCAAGACTATACATGAGTCCCCAGTTACTGTAACCTCTGTTTCTCCATATTCTTTTAAGGGTATTATGAGGAGCAATATACTGTGAAATCCCTCAGAGCCGCTTCAATGCTGATTATCTTCAGGAGAGCTAAGGTCTCTTGTGCTCCCTCTAGTGGTGAAACAGGCTGGCCTAAAGGGAGGGTCATTGGTGGGCTGATATAAAAGGGCACAATCCCTATTCCACTGTCCTGGTTGTTTGCAATAAGGCAGACATCTTAGGGTGAAGAATTTCTTGGTCTAATACCTCTTGGTTGTGATTTAAAATGAGAATGAGAAGATCCCTTTGGTCTTGGCCCCTGTAACTGTTGTAATTGAAGAGTCATAAGCTTGTTAGCCTTTTGGGTTTTTTCTTGCTCTACAGTCCTCTCAAAATGTTCAGCTAGAGCCACCAATTCAGTCATGGCTGTAACTTCCCATCCGAGTTTACGTTTTCTAATTAAATTTCTAAGTTCAGGATGAAGTCCATTTATAAATAGAG